>NC_000010.11:11979696-12131212 GCF_000001405.40 Homo sapiens
GAGATCAAGACTATCCTGGCTAACACGGTGAAACCCCGTCTCTACTAAAAATAAAAAAATTAGACAGGTATGGTGGCATGCGCCTGTAGTCACAGCTACTCGGGAGGCTAAGGCAGGAGAATTGCTTGAACCCAGGAGGTAGAAGTTGCAGTGAGCCCAGATCACGCCACTGCACTCCAGCCTGGGTGACAAAGCAAGACTCCATCAAACGAATGAATGAATGAATGAATGGTACTCAATAACTGAAAAAACCTCTACGAAGGCAAAATAATATTACAAAATCTAAATACTAATTTATGTATTTCAACTCATTACAGAACCCACTCAGATCTTCATTCAGGATCTTAATTTGGACAGTAAATGGCAAATATGTGGCACTCACACTGCCACCCTCTTCCATTGTCAAAGCACTCTTTCCCATTACACAGGAATGATGCTCCAGAATCCTGCCTAGCACAGCACTCCAGGTGGCCACTACTAGTTGGAATCAACACACAAGCTAAAATTTATTTTCCATTCCTGCCATAGATGTTATTTTGTAAAACCTGATTAATCAATGATTCAACACTCAGCAGATCAGACTCTGAAGATGAGAAGTAATGAGCAACTGATAAAAGCAGCTTAACTGACAGCAGCAAATAATGGAGCTGACAGTGAGAGAGGAAGCTAAAAACTATAAAATTACAAGAGCTTAAAAATTATGACAGCTTGAAGCCAATTAGAACAGACACAAATAATCATACGAGTCTTAATTATCGCTGAGTGGAGGCCGGGCACGGTGGCTCACATCTGTAATCCCAGCACTTTGGGAGGCTGAGGCAGGCAGATCACCTGGAGACCAGCCTGGCCAATATGGTGAAACCCCATCTCTACCAAAAATATAAAAATTAGCTGGGCGTGGTGACAGATGCCTGCAATCCCAGCTACTCGGGAGACTGAGGCAGGAGAATCACTTGAACCCAGGAGGCAGAGGTTGCAGTGAGCTGAGATCACACCATTGCAATCCAGCCTGGGCAACAAGAGCGAAACTCCATCTCAAAAAAAGATTATTGCTGAGCACATCACTGTACCATACAATAATATATGAAAATGTTTGATGGTCAGGGAAAAAAACACATAATTCGATCTGGAAAGCTCCTCAGATGGATACATTAACCCTTAGCTAAAGGGACACTGAAAAAAGAAGGATGGAAATAAATTTGAAAGGTATGGTTAGGCTGGGCATGGTGGTCAATAATCCCAGCACTTTGGCAGGCTGAGACAGGTGGATCACCTGAGGTGAGGAGTTCAAGACCAGCCTGGCCAACATGGTGAAACCCCCATCTCTACTAAAAATACAAAATTTAGCTGGGTGCGGTGGCACCTGCCTGTAATCCCAGCTACTCGGGCCTGGGAGGTGGAGGTTGCAGTGAGCCAAGTCCATGCCACCGCACTCCAGTCTGGGCCACAGAGCGAGACTTTGTCTCAAAAAGATTTAAAAAAAAATTGAAATAAAGAAGAAAGGTAAGGTTAAATGGAGGAAACTGGCTAAATTCATACCTAAAAGCCTCAAAAACATGGTACTCCTCAAAAACTTGGGCTATTATAATTTCTAAGCAAATTAGTTTTTACTAATGTGCTGGGCCCTGTCCTAGGCCTCTTACATATATAACTCAACTTGTTAAACCTAATAACCACTTTATAAGGTGGATATTACACTCACCATTGCAGAAATAAGGGAACAGATGCTGAGAGAAGTCAGCAATATGATAGCTTTGTAGTATTACCGCAATAATTTTTTAAAATAAACCATATCTTTCTTTAAAGAAACAGCGAAAACTACAATCCATTATATAAAAACATTTAATGATAAAATTTAAATGTTGATTTAAAATATTTTTAAGGTTTTATCAATTAAAGTCTAAGCTGCTGTCACATGGAAAATGCACATAAGTAGGTCCCACCACTCTCTAAAGATATTACAAAAATAAGGTGTTCTTGTAAGGTACTCTTTTTTTTTTCTGAGACGGAGTCTCGCTCTGTCGCCCAGGCTGGAGTGGAGTGCAGTGGTACAATCTCGGCTCACTGCAACCTCCGCCTCCCGGGTTCAAGCGATACTTCTGCCTCAGCCTCCCAAGTAGCTGGGATTACAGGCAAGCACCACCGTGCCCGGCTAATTTTTGTATTTTTAGCAGAGACAGGGTTTCCCCATATTGGCCAGGCTGGTCTTGAACTCCTGACCTTGTGATCCATCCGCCTTGACCTCCAAAAGTGCTGGGATTACAGGTGTGCGCCACTGCGCCCAGCCCCTATAAGTTACGCTTATAAACATGTAATAATTTCCCTACTGTTCCTACTATTAAAAAAAAAAAAGCCTGGAGCAAATGAATATTTAATGTTCTTACATAACAGATTAATTTACACTGAGATTAAATTTACAAATTTTAGTTAGAATATTAAGGTTATTCATTTTCCACATCCATTTTAACAAATAAAGTATTCTTTTTCAGCTCATGATCAATTATCAAATTCAAATATAGGATTTAAATCTATGCGGAGGTTCTTTTGCTGCCATTGCCACAATTTCAGGTCAGAAAAGTACAGGTACAACAGCAAAGGTAACAAGATGGCAAAGCAACGCACTGGGAGTGAGGAGACCCAGGTATAAACTCTACAGCAGCAAACAGCATCTCCATGACCTCAGGGACTGATCCACCCTCTTCTCCCATACCTCCCAGCTTGCCTGCACCAGGCCCACTGGCTCCTCACTGATGCTCTGACTCAGGGCCTATGCAATGGTCCTTGCCTTGGGCTGGAATATGCTTTCCCTAAACATCCATACTGTTTACTCCCTCCCTAAAGGGAGTCCCAGTCTCCCTGTTTTGACCCGTTCCGAATACTCCAAGGAAACTGCACCTAACCCATCATATCCCTCCCAATCCCCTTACAAAGCACTTTGGTTTTTTTTGAGACAGAGTTTCACTCTTGTTGCCCAGGCTGGAGTGCAATGGCGCCATCTTGGATCACCACGACCTCCGCCTCCCAAGCGATTCTCCTGCCTCAGCCTCCCAAGTACCTGGGATTACAGGCATGCACCACCACACCCATTTAATTTTGTGTCTTTAGTAGAGATGGAGTTTCTCCATGTTGGTCAGGCTGGTCTTGAACTCCCGACCTTAGGCGATCCACCCCCCTCAGCCTCCTAAAATGCTGAAATTACAGACATGAGCCACTGTGCCCAGGCCTACCTGCACTACTTTTAAAAATGGAATTTACCACTTAACATAGTAAATAATTGATTTGTTATGGTTAACTCATTTGTTACCCCTACCCACCAAAATTGTTCAGTTCCGTGGCAGACAGTTCACCAGCACTCAAACAGTGCCTGGAACATAGGCAGGTGCTCAATATATACATTTGTTAGATAAATGAATTATCTCTGGTAACTCACTCTTAAGTATACTGTTAGCATTTAGTCTAAGACATTCTTCCCCATATTAAGGAAGTAGCATCTTATTGTTGTAATAACATTACATTTTATCAAGCAAAAGCTAATTTATCAAATATCTTTTAGCAGTTAATGGGACATTCACATAGTTACTTACTCTCCTACTGATGTTATATATATTAATAGATTTCCTATGTTAGAGTATCCTTCCATTCCTAAGATCAATCTTCTTTGGTCATGCTGGATTCTTATTTACTTATTTTTTTTTAGATGGAGTCTCGCTCTGCCGCCCAGGCTGGAGTGCAGTGGCATGATCTCGGCTCACTGCAAGTTCCGCCTCCTGGGTTCACGCCATTCTCCTGTCTCAGCCTCCTGAGTAGCTGGGACTACCAGCGCGTGCTATCATGCCCAGCTAATTTTTTGTATTTTTAGTAGAGACGGGGTTTCACTGTATTAGCCAGGATGGTTTCGATCTCCTGAACTCGTGATCCACCTGCTTCAGCCTCCCAAAGTGCTGGGATTACAGGCATGAGCCACCGTGCCCGGCCTTGGATTCTTATTTTTAATATACTATGTATTAAATATGATTTGCTAGTGTTTTACTTGGAATTTTTTTATTGACACTCAAAAGTGAGATTGGTCAATGCTTGTGATTTTCTTGTTCCTTCTTCTTAGAATTTTTAATATATGAAATAACACGTTTTCTATGCTCTGGAACAAGCGATATTATTTCTTCCTTAAAAGGCTAAAAATACTCAGTTAAGCTTCCTAGTTTTATTCTATTTAAGATGAAATTAATTGATAACTTTTTTTTTTTGAGACGGAGTTTCGTTCTCGTTGCCCAGGCTGGAGTGCAATGGCGCGATCTCGGCTCACCACAACCTCCACCTCCCGGGTTCAAGCAATTCTCCTGCCTCAGCCTCCTGAGTAGCTGGGATTACAGGTATGCACCACCACACCCAGCTAAGTGTGTATTTTTAGTAGAGACGGGGTTTCTCCATGTTGGTCAGGGTGGTCTGGAATCCTGACTTCAGGTGACCCGCCGCCTTTGCCTCCCAAAGTGCTGGGATTACAGGCGTGAGCCAGCGTGCCCGATCAATTAATAACTTTTAACGCTTTCTTCCATGATTACCGTTCTATGTGGGTATTTTATCTTGAAGGAATTTTGAAAATGTGTATATTTTTCAAAAAATTATGTTTCACTGAGATTTTCAAGTGGTTTTAAAATATTTTAAGCGTATCATCTGCTCATTTCTTAAACTTTTTAATGTTCTTTTTCTTTAAAATATATTTTCTACACACTTCTCTATTTTGATTTTTCCAGGAACCAGATCTTGAATTTCTAAAACTTTTATCTTAGTTGTCTTTTTCAATGTATTTTTCAACAAAGTTTGTGATAAAACAGCATCAAATATTCTTAAACTATGTCATTTCACTTTTCTTCTTTTTTTCCTTCCTCGTGCTACCTAGTCTAAGATCGTTTCACTTTTCTTCCACTTGTTGGTCTGTCCCTTGCACTTCACTTCATTTTCTTCTAAGTGGCCCAATCTACTGAGTCCCCCACAAAAAGGCAGATATAGCCATCTTTGCTCTTTAAAAAAAAAAAAAAAAAAGAGTCTCACTCTGTTGCCCAGGCTGGAGAACACTGACAGGATCTCAGCTCACTGCAACCTCCGCCTCCCAGGTTCGAGTGATTCTCCTGCCTCAGCCTCCCGAGCAGCTGGAACTACAGGTGCCTGCCACCATGCCCGGCTAATTTTTGTATTTTTAGTAGAGACAGGGTTTCAACATGGTGGCCAGGCTGATCTCGAACTCCTGACCTCAAGTGATCCACCCGCCTCGGCCTCCCACAGTGCTGGGATTACAGGCGTGAGCCACCGCGCCCGGTCCAGCTATGCATTTTAAAGCAAGACAGTTTTGTGCTACCTGTTCAGGCACAGATCAATGAAGTAACAACACGGGAAAATGCTTTCAGCTTTAATAGGGATTTTTAAAATGAGTTAAGGAAGTTATGAGTTAAGGAGTTATGGAAGTAAAGTTAGATACTCCATTTTCTCGGAATCCTCTACCCCTATAAAAAGGACAGTTGATACAAAATACCACCCTGCTCTATTTAAATCTTGAAGTCCTGTGTCTGTTCATCCATTACTTCACAAAATAAAATCCTTTATGTTGTAAATAATCAATTATATAGTTATTCAACGTTAGTCCTGCTTAAGAATGCTTTCTGCTGGCCGGGTGCAGTGGCTCACGCCTGTAATCCCAGCACTTTGGGAGGCAGAGGCTGGCGGATCACGAGGTCAGGAGATGGAGACCATCCTGGCTAATACGGTGAAACCCTGTCTCTACTAAAAATACAAAAAATTAGCTGGGCGTGGTGGAGGGCGCCTGTAGTCCCAGCTACTCGGGAGGCTGAGGCAGGAGAATGGCGTGAACCCGGGAGGCGGAGCTTGCGCCACTGCACTCCAGCCTGGGCGACACAGCAAGAGTCCGTCTCCAAAAAAAAAAAAAAACAAACAAACAAAAAAAAAGAATGCTTTCTTCGTGTTCTGTCTTCCAAAGGGCACACAAGCTCAAAAATGGGATGGAGTGCAAAATGTCACATCAGTCACATTAAAGTCACATCAGTCACATTAAAGTTATTAATAACACAAAATAAAATATTTTCATCAACTGCAAATTTGTGCTAAAATTTAAGCCAGATGGGTATTTCATCTAATTTGAGTGTTGAAAAGCAACTGAAAAATAATTAGATCCTTCCTTTTTTTTTTTTTTTTGTGAGACGGAATCTCGCTGTGTCGCCCAGGCTGGAGTGCAGTGGCACGATCCCCACTCACTGTAAGCTCCGCCTCCCGGGTTCACGCCATTCTCCTGCCTCAGCCTCCCGAGTAGCTGGGACTACAGGCGCCCGCCACCAAGCCCGGCTAATTTTTTGTATTTATAGTAGAGACGGGGTTTCACCGTGATAGCCAGGATGGTCTCGATCTCCTGACCTTGTGATCCGCCCGCCTCAGCCTCCCAAAGTGCTGGGATTACAGGCGTGAACCACCGCGCCCGGCCTAGATCCTTCCTTTGAAAACGGAATTCTATAATCTCATAAGATGGCGAAAATTACGTTTACCAACAATGAACGATGAATCACTTTAAAAGAATGCTATTTTCCCTTAAATAATAAAATCTTGTTTATGTTTTTAAGGTCTCCTGAATCACACATTTAAGTATCCTACCAGCAGTTAATGATTATCAAGTCAGTAAACAGTCACTAACTACAAGCAAGCAGAAACAAGAGCAGAAACATACAAACACTTTTGTTATTGAGAGGGAAAGAAGAAATTCTTATGGGTTTTCATCTCCTAATCAATTGGCTTTCTAAAAGAAATGTCTAGCTCTCTTTTTCTCTTTAAAATCTGAAGAATTTGACTGTTGAAAGCTATTTAATTTTATCTCTGTGCTCAAAAATGCCTGGAAAAAAATGAATGTGAAAGAACGCTGTTACGGTGCAATTAAAGAATACAAAGGATTTCATAGGAAACACTAAAGCAGAAGATGATTCCTAAAAAATGAAATATAATAAGCAAAAGACTGGGGTCATTTACTCTGAAATCGACAACCAAATGCCCTGTTGACTTTTCCACAATGCTGCTGTTTCCAACACAACAGCGCCACCAGGTGGTGCAACATACTAACAGATTTCACGGAAACATTCTCTCACAGTTCCAAATTGAGTGAAGGAGGAGGTCCAATCAGAAAATCTCTTACAAAAAGTCCAGCAAACTCTCCTAAAAGCTAGATAGGGAAAAGCTGTTCAAGAATCAAGGGCAGCACTTCACCTCTGAAGAGTATTCTGTTTACATGAATCTAAAGAGCCAACACTTGGCTAAAACAATACCAAGTGCATCTATACTTTAAACATAAGGAAAGAAGAGATTCTTACGTACTTTCCCTGATACTGATTGACTTTAAACTTAAATATTGGCTTAGGTGAGGGGCCTTCTGAGGTGCTGGGAATGTCATATATCTTGATCGGAGTGATGGACACATATGTATACTTTAGATATAAACACCTCAGGAAGAAGAGTTAGTGGAGGCTGGGTTTAACACCTAGGTGATGAGATGATCTGCGCAGCAAACCACCACGGTACATGTTTACCTATGCAACAAACCTGCACAGCCTGCACATGGACCCTTGCACTTAAACTTTAAAAGTTGAAGACAAAAAAAGATATAAACACTTAATGTGAAATCTCAATTAGTTGTGTGTATAGCTATGTTATAATTACCTATAAAATAAAATGCAAATATCTAAGGGGATTTCTACATCTCAGTGGAGTCCAAATTAATAGGCTAAGAGAGGCTGGGCACGGAGGCTCCTGCCTGTAATCACAGCACTTTGGGAGGCCTAGGCGGGTGGATCATTTGAGGTCAGGAGTTCATGACCAGCCTGGCCAACATCATGAAACCCCGTCTCTACTAAAAAAATATATAAAAATTAGCCAGGAGTGGTGGTGCATGCCTGTAGTCCCAGCTACTAGGGAGGCTGAGGCGGGAGAATCACTTAAGCCCAGGAGACAGAGGTTGCAGTGAGCTGAGATCACACCACTGCACTCCAGCCTGGGCGATAGAGCAAGACTCTGCCTCAAAAAAAAAAAAAAAAAAAAAAAAAAAAGGCTAAAGGATATAATGATAGTGTTTTGAGATTTTTTTTCATCATTATTTATTTAATGAAGGAAGAATGCAACTGAAAGTTAAAACACTGCTTCAGATCAAACCTTTAAGAACTGTAAAGATGAACTACATCAAACTTTAAAAACTGTGCTGCAAATTATACTACCAAGCAAGTGAAAAGACAACTCAGAGGATGGGAGAAAATACTTCCAAATTATGTATCTGATAAGAGATGTGTGCCTAGAATATATAAATAACTCTTAGAACTCATTCATAAAAAGACAAATACAATTTTACAGGGGCAAAGGCTGTGAATAGATACTTCTCCAAAGAAGATATGCAAATGGCCACTAAGCACATGAAAAGATGCTCAACGTCATATGTCATTAGGGACGTTGTCCCTAGGTATCCATGAGGGACTGGTTCCAGGAACTACTACCCCCACCCAAAAGATACCAAATTACTTATAATGCCTAACACAATGTAAATGCTATATAAATAGTTGTTATGCTGTGTTTATTTTTGTAATTTTTGTAATTTTCTTAGAGACAGAGTCTCACTGTCACCCAGGCTGGAGTGCAGTGGTGAGACCAGAGTGCACGAACTTCAAATTCCTGGGCTCAACTGATCCTCCCACCTTAGCCTCCCAAGTAGATGGAACTACAGGCACATGCCACTATGCCTGGCTTATTTTTTGTAGAGGATGGGGTCTCACTATGTTGTCTAGGCCGGTCTCAGACTCCTGGCTTTAGGCCATCCTCCTGCCTTGGTCTCCAAAAGTGTTGGGATTACAGGAGGGAGGAAGGAGCATGCCAGGGAGGAGGACGAGAATCTGACTGAAGGAGTCTCAAACAGGCTGGGTGAGTATGGGTGCAGGACGAGGCCAGGATGCCAAAAGGTGATAGTATTTCCTTGCCCCCTCTCCCAAAGTGTTCCAGCCTGCCCCAAGTGTTCCAAAGACTCAAAGTAACTTGCTACCTCCAATACCACTTCACTGCCTGCTTACTCTACACTCAACTCTCTTTACTCCCCTTATCTCCTCGCTTGAGGGCTATCAGACATCACTGTCACTCAAAGGATAGAGAAAGCTGTGTGAATATATGGGGTCTGGAAGAATCAGAAATGGGATGACAGGGAATTGACTGGCACTTGATTACTATCTTTCTACTCCAGGCTCCCTAGGGATCAAGCCGTCCCCCTCAGGGATAAGCCAAATCCTGCAGGTAGGGTAGAAATGCACCTGGAAGTGAAGGACAAAATAAGACCTTCAAAATGAAAGGCTTTTTTGATCAATAAAAATATACAGCCAACCAGGAAATGTCAACCTGGTCCAAGTCCCTCCCTATTACCTCATTTTACAGATCTGTAAACAGAGGCATTGGCTTTCCAAATCCCACAGTAATGAACTTTAAAAAGATTGAGAAAGTTTAATTTAAACCTGAAAAGACTACACAGAATACTATTAACATGAGAAATGTATAAAAATTAGAAATCTACTTGAACAAATTATAGCTCAATTGATTAAAATCTATATAAAATATGAAAATGTGCCAGGCATAGTGGCACATGCCTGTAATCCTAGCTACTCAGGAGACAGAAGCAGGAGGATTGCTTGAGGCCAGGAGTTCAAGAGCAGCCTGGGCAACATAGCAAGACCTTGTCTCTTAAAAAATAAATGAATAGAAATGTAAAGAGTAACAGTCAAAGCTATGTATAAATTACATCTTTCAAAAGACTGTCCTCTACCAGCCAAACCATGAGTATTTCTTTTATTGTTTTCAACAAGGTAACTTACTAGAGAAATATTAACACAAGTCTACTGACTGAAAACAAATCCCTGTGAGTATTTCCGTAGCAAGGGACACAATGTTACCCCAATGCTTCACATGCTTCCCTACATTTTCTAAATGCTCTTGTTGTCCTAGACAATGAGCTAAGAACAAAAATGACTTGGCACTTCTTGTCCAAAGTATCTAGGACTAAGCTGAGTTCACACGCTTGTCTCCCATGCCACGGCCACCTAGAAGCCATGCTAGTGACGTAGATGAAAGTGGTCTGGATCCTTGAGTCACCTCCTGAAAGGGTAGTCTAGGGAGCCCACCAAACCCAGAGGACTTCGAGAACCTCAGATTTCAGAGGTTTGTTGTTCCTCCAACATCCCTAACCTATCCTGGCTTATCCATTTTCTCAGGAAAAGTAATGGCTCACACCAATAAAGCTGAAAATAGTTTTTCAGTTATAGGAAGCTAGAATGATATTAATGTAAGAAAACATGAACTTCGAAAAAAAAGTCTGGCTGAAGCCACCCAATCTGTCCAGATTTGCTTCAAGGTAAATTACAGCAGGATAAGCAAATGAAAAGAAAAGGGAAAGCTGGCCCAAACAGGGCAGATCTTCAAATATGCCATCAACATGCTTCTTTCAATGATAAACACATATTGTTTCTCTATAGTTTGACCACTTATCCTCAAGTTCTACCTTTCAATGATAAACCCATATTCCTGACATACAACAAATGCTTAGCATCTGGAAAGGCAGGGCAAAGACTAAGCAAAAGCTCCATGAGGAAATGCAATGCCCATGCAGAACAGGGAAACGGCCCCCAAAGCAACCAACATCAGAAACAATAGCAAAAATATGTCCTTAAAAAGGGTTAGGAGGCCGGGTGGATCACGAGGTCAGGCGATCGAGACCATCCTAGCTAACATGGTGAAACCCCATCTCAACCAAAAATACAAAAAATTAGCCGGGCGTGGTGGCAGGTGCCTGTAGTCCCAGCTACTCAGGAGGCTGAGGCAGGAGAATAGCGTGAACCTGGGAGGCGGAGCTTGCAGTGAGCCGAGATCATGCCACTGCACTCCAGCCTGGGTGAAGAGCAAGACTCTGTCTCAAAAAAAAAAAAAAAAAGGAAACCTGTTGACCAGGCCCAGTGGCTCACGCCTGTAATCTCAGCACTTCGGGAGGCCGAGGCTGGCAGATCACTAGGTCAGGAGATCGAGACCATCCTGGCTAACATGGTGAAACCCTGTCTCTACTAAAAATACAAAATATTAGCTGGGCGTGGTGGCGGGCACCTGTAGTGTCAGCTACTTGGTAGGCTGAGGCAGGAGAATGGTGTGAACCCAGGAGGCGGAGCTTGCAGTGAGCCAAGATCAGGCCACTGCACTTCAGCGCTTGAGCGACAGAGCAAGACTCCATCTCAAAAAAAAAAAAAAAAAGGAAACCTGTTAATAACAAAGCTGAGCAAATCTAACTCATGATACGTAATAAAAAGAGGGTAAGTACAGCATCAGTGCAAAGGTACTGTCAATTTTTTTAAATTAAAAAAATAAGAATGAAAAGAACAAATTCCTCAAAACCTACCAAACAAAATTCTCCAGAAACATACTGCCATGAAATATATGAAAATTCTGGCCAGTTTTCCATGCATTTTTTAAAGAACTGAATGAACTAAAAGAAGAAATGAGAAAAAGAGTAGTAGAGGGAAAAGACTTTGCAGAATGTTGAGTAAGAAAAAGACAACACTGAAAACAGTGACTGGTAAGAATAAAATCGCCAGAAAACAACCACAGCACAGTCAACATATGCATCATTGGGGTACCTAAAAAAGAAAGCCAAAACAAGATAACAGAACTAGTATTTAAATATATTTGAGGAAATAAATAAATTTTAAAAATTCCCTGAATTTTTCAATATGAAAATGGAAAGGGCATGAAGAAGGACCCAGAATGATCAACACCAAGAACTATTTATCCTAGGAAAGTTATTGGATTTACTTGATTAATTAGAGAAAAAATTATTTGGGCAGCCATTTAAATGACCAAGTTAATTTTAAGAGAGGAAAAAAAAAAGGCCAGCTCGCCTAGATTTCAACACAGTAATGGCAAATGCCAAATGACTATTGAGTGACACCTACATGATATTTAGGGTTAAAAGGTATGAGCTGTGGATTCTCCACTATAACCAGTCAAGCAGCCATTCAAGTAACATAGCCCCAATTCTGAACATAGAGAAATTCAAGGCACATTTTTCCCCAAGAACACTTTTTGAGAAAACTATTAGAAAATGAACTTCAGGCCAGGCGCAGTGGCTCACACCCACAATCCCAGCACCTTGGGAGGCTGAGGTGAGCGGATCACCTGAGGTCCAGGGTTCAAGACCAGCCTGGCCAACATGATGAAACCCTGTCTCTACTAAAAATACAAAAATTAGCTGGGCGTGGTGGCGGGCGCCTGTAATCCCAGCTACTCAGGAGCCTGAGGCAGAAGAATCGCTTGAACTGGAGGCAGAGGTTGCAGTGAGCCAAGATCGCGCCACTGCACTCCAGCATGGGCAATAGAGCAAAACTCAGTCTCAAAAAAAAAAATGAAAATGACCTTCAGCAAATAAGGGCATTAGAGCAAGAAATTTTAATATAAATGTTTTATTCCCTATCAGGATATGTCATCAATATAAAAATAAGTGAGGGGGGATGGAAAAGCAGACAGGAAGTCAGGTGTGCCGCTTGCCTACTGAAATAATGCTGAAAGTTAAATATCACTCAAATACAAGAATAAGTACATTTAAGAGTAAAAAGGAAAATATTAAGGAAGAAAACATTATTAACTAATATCAGATGAGTGACTAAAGAGAGTAAGAAAAGAAGACACCACAAACTAATCTTACCACTGCTCATGGTAGAAAACAACAGAGACTGTCTAAATAAATAATCGCTAAGCAAACTTACAATCATAAAGTAATAAAATAATAATGCAAACCTTCCTAAAACCAAGAAACATACACTCATGCGTGCACACTAAATTAAAAAATATAAAAGACCACATAATGAAAGACTTTTAGGAATTAAACCAAAAAGGAAAATATTACAGAACTCAAGCCAATCATAAATAGCCTAAATTACTTTCATTAAAAGAAACATACTTTCAGAATATGTCTGAGAGTAAAATTCAATTCAATTGTACATAAAAGAGACTCAACTAAAATAAAATGATTCTGAAAGATGGAATATAAAATAAAGGGCACAGGTATACCAAATAAAAGGCACATGTATACCAAACGCAAATAAAAAGAAAGCAGCAGTCAGGCGCAGGTGGCTCACACTTGTAATCCCAGCACTTTGGGAGGCCAAGGCGAGTGAATCACTTGCGGTCAGGAGTTCAAGACCAGCCTGGTTAATATGGTGAAACCCCGTTTCTACTAAAACTACAAAAAATTACCCGGGCGTGGTGGTACACGCGTGAAATCCCAGTTACATGTGAGGCTTAGGTGGGAGAATCGCTTGGACCCAGGAGGTGGAGGTTGCAGTGAGCAGAGATCACACCACTGCACTCCAGCTTGGGTGACAGAGTGAGGCTCCACCTCAAAAAAAAAAAAAAAAAAAAAAAAGGCAGCAATCATAATCATTAATATCAGATGAGTTGGAATTCAGGCCAAAAGGCATTAAATAAGACCAAGAAGAACACTTTATAATGATAAAAGATGTATGTAATTCACAATTAAGTTTTATCTATACAACAAATAACACAACAGTAATATACAGAAAGCTGGAATCCTAGTAGCTATTAGGAGAAATGCAACACATCGGGAGTCACACCTTTAATCCACCTCTCAGGCCATGACCTCTGGGCAAGAGGCCAAAAATGTAAGAAAATAGATCTGAATCATTATTTAATCATGTAAACCTGATCAATACATTTACTGACTATATAATTAGAGACAAAGTAAACTTCAAAAATTCCAAAAAAAAAACCAGACAGTATTCTCTAATCAAAATGCAATAAAAATATAAATTATTGACAAAGCCACAAAACAAAACAAAAAGCCCCTCTACCTGGAAATTTTGAAATTCCTTGGGTCACAAAGGAAATAAAACTAAAATTACCACATGTCAGAACTAACAGATGGCTGGGCACAGCGGCTCATGCCTGTAATCCCTGCACTTTCGGAGGCCAAAGCAGGAGGAGCTGCTTGAGCCCAGGAGTTCAAGACTAGCCTGGTCAATATAACAAGACCTCGACCCTACCAAAAAAAAAAAATTAATTAATGTAAAAATTAGCCAGACATGGTGGTTCATGCCTGTGGTCCCGGCTACTTGCGAGGCTAACGTGAAAGGATTGCTAGAGC
Source organism: Homo sapiens (assembly GCF_000001405.40). Taxonomy (NCBI): domain Eukaryota; kingdom Metazoa; phylum Chordata; class Mammalia; order Primates; family Hominidae; genus Homo; species Homo sapiens. Next base: position 11,993,912 of record NC_000010.11, read on the forward strand.
CTGGGAGGTTGAGGCTGCAGTGAGCTGTAATCTCACCACTGCACTCAAGCCTAGGCAACAGAGCAGGACCCTGTCTCTAAAAAAAAAGAACCAAGAGACATGGCTTAAACTATGCTCAATGGACAACTCATATATGAAGTGCTAGAAAAGAAACAAAATAAATGGAAGAAACCCAAAAGAAGAAATTAATAAAGAACAAAGCCAAAAATAACAGTAAGAAAATCATTAAAGAGAATAAATAATAAATCTAAAAGCTGAGTTTTTTTAGTAGGAAAAAACTAGGTAAACCATTAGCTAACATAACCACGAGGAGAAAAGAGGAAGTACAAATTCAAATATGGCACTGTCTGTAACAGTTAAATATAGTACATTCATCAAAAGAAACACTGCAGCTTTAAAATAACGAACAAAGGAAATCTTTATGTCCTGAGATGAAAAGATATGTATCAGCTGCCCACTGTGTTAAAAACAGGAAATAAGAATCTATAATTGTATTTTCTTGTATACGCAAAAGAATCTTTGGGAGAATACACAAGCATCAAGATACTGATTTCCTACTGAAAGGAGTGGAAATTGGGTAGATGGGAAGGCAAGGATAAGAAGGATACTTTTCATCATATAATGTTTTCTACTTCTGGATTTTGAGCTATAGAGCCTTATAATTTATTATTTAAAACTGCATATGGCCAAGATTAATTCATCAAATATTTTAAGCTTGGACTATATGCCAAACACTATACTTGGTGTTGGAGATGCACAAAATGAAAAGATCGAGTCCTCTTTCCTAAAGAGTGATAGTTTCCGCCTGTAATCCCAGCACTTTGGGAGGCCGAGGCGGGTGGATCACGAAGTCAGGAGATCGAAACCATCCTGGCTAACACAATAAAACCCCATCTCTACTAAAAATACAAAAAATTAGCCGGGCGTGGTGGCAGGCGCCTGTAGTCCCAGCTACTTGGGAGGCTGAGGCAGGAGAATGGCGTGAACCTGGGAGGCAGAGCTTGCAGTGAGCCGAGATCGCGCCACTGCACTCCAGCCTGGGCAACAGAGTGAGACTCCATCTCAAAAAAAAAAAAAAAAAAAAAAAAAAAAAGAGTGATAGTTTCAAGTCTGGCAGGGAGACAGGAAGCAAACCAACAATCGGAATATGATGTGCCTAATTCTTCGTAAGAAGACATGAAGTGCTATAAAGAATACCTCTATCTACACAAGGGAAAAAAGGAAGGCTGTTCATAGAGGATAGCTCTTGTTAAAGACTTAAAGGTGAGTCAAAGATTTCCAGTGGAAAAATAAAGGACATCCCAGATAAAAGCAGAAAGCAGTGGCAAAGGTATGGGAGTAGAGAGAGCAAACAGTATTCGAGAAACCATTACAGATCAAGATTCTGCAGAAGGAAGAATGGTTAGAATTAAGACTGAAGAAGTTGAAAACCAGCTAGCTAAGAAAGGGCATTACATATCTTGTTACCTAATTTTATCACCTTTCACATGACAGGCATTGTGCTATGTGCTGGGTATAAAGCAGTAAACATGGCCTCCTTCCTGCAGTTTACAGTCTAGAGGACAATGTCAAAGAATTTAAAAAAGAGGTTTGGCTGGCGCGGTGGCTCACACATCTAATCCCAGCACTTTGGGAGGCTGAGGCAGGCGGATCACGAAGTCAGGAGCTCAAGATCAGCCTGGCCAACAGGGTGAAACCCCATCTCTACTAAAAATATAAAAATTAGCCGGGCATGGTGGTGGGAGCCCATAGTCCCAGCTACTCGGGAGGCTGAGGGAGGAGAATCGCTTGAACCCTGGAGTCGGAGGTTGCAGTGAGCTGAGATCGCACCACTGCACTCCAGCCTGGGCGACAAGTGAGACTCTGTATCAAAAAAAAAGAGGTTTTACCAAGAGTTTGATGCCATGACCTTTCCTGTCTCTGACTCCCTGCACATACTGTTGCCTCTGTCAGCAATGCTCTCCCTACATTCCCAATCCCCACCCATCCCTTAACTAGTCCATTCTTCTCAGGCCTCAGATTAAATGACCCTTGTTCCAGGCAGTCTTCTCTGACTCCTCAGACTCAATCAGTCAGTTCCACTTGGCTCTATGCTTCAAAGCATGCTGCGCTTCTTCTTGACAAAGGCACTTAGAATTACTCCTCTGTCTTCCTCTCCAAAGTGTAAGCTGTATGAATACAAGAACTAAGATGATCTTGTTCACCCCTGTACTGTATCTCCAGCATGGATCACAGTACACAGCAGACCCGTAACGAATTATTTAATGAATGAGTACATTTTAGAATAATATAACAATCTTTCCTGATTATCAGGCTGATTATAATATACTTAATTGTATTTATATACTGCAAGTATATAAGACTACGAGATCTATTTCTCATGGCTCTAGAATACTTGCATCTTTTTTTAATACTTATGATAAACTGTCACTTCATTCAACCTTTTTTTTTTTTGAGATGGAATCTCGCTCTGTTGCCCAGGCTGGAGTGCAATAGCATGATCTTGGCTCACTGCAACCTCCGCCTCCTGGGTTCAACCGGTTCTCCTGCCATGGCCTCATGAGAAGCTGAGTATGGGCATGCGCCACCACACCCAGCTAATTTTGTATTTTAGTAGAGATGGGGTTTCACCATGTTGGTCAGGCTGGTCTCAAACTCCTGACCTCAGGTGATCCACCTGCCTCAGCCTCCCAAGGTGCTGGGATTACAGGCCTGAGCCACCGCGCCTGGCCTGAAGTATGTAATTTTACGTTATAAAAATATTCATCCATATGACTTCTTCAATTACATAATTCTTAATTACCTACTCACTACATTAACACATTCCCTCTCCCTTGCCCCACTAAAATGAATAACGCTAGCAGGAGATTAAAAAACTAATATGAAAGAAAAAAGGCAAGTAGTGATTTGGTTTCACTGAGAAATCTTACCATTATCAAGAGATCATGGGCCTCCATCAATGAATGAACCACATTAAAATTCTGCTCAAGAAACCTTCATTGAAATCCCTCAGAATCCTTATCTTTTGGGGAGAGTATCTGTCTGAGCTATGTCATATGTAATCATCTTAATAGTTAACAAAATTATTTAATTATTTATTGTTGAATAAACAGAAATAGATCTCCTCCAGGATTCTAAGGTCAACAGTCTATGAGTGGTCCTGAAATGTTCAGGTGAAGTAGAAATTTTAATTTAATGTAATATAATGCATCAGAATTCTCTAAAAGCATTATGCAACTGAATGTGTGTCTTGAATTACTAGCAACATAATCATTAATATGATTTCCAATTCTATCCAATGAGTCTCTAGGCAGGCTATCATACCTCTTAACTATCATAATTACCTAAATAACTTGAAATTTTTCATTTAAACATAAATCTGAGAACTAAATATATTACATTACCCTCATCTTTGCACAAAATAAAAACTCTCCAAAAAAATTATGTTCCATTTATTACTTTTTCCTCAGAGGCAAAAATGCAAACAATTGCTTCTAGCAATTCTTCTTCTTCTTCTTAAGCTACTCTTAAACATTTTATTTTAAAATAATTAGATATCAGAAGAAATATTCCCATTAGAGCTAACAAGCAATGAACAAAAATTAATGGGAAACAAGTTCTAAAAAATATGCTAATAATGCTAATGACCTACAGAGTGAATAAAATCAAAAGCAATATTTTTCAAGAGGTAAGAATTTTGATCTTACAGCCAGCACTACAGAGTAAAAACACTAATAAATTTCTCTTTCATAACACTTACCTTTGTCTAGGAACTATGAAGAGTGCCCGTACCAACTTCTTCCTGTTTGCTTTTGTGTTCATGTTCATGCAAAAATCCATTGCTGCCTATTGGGAAAAAGTAAACTTTTTCTTTAAAAACCTCTAATTAGTTACGGAGAGCAGAAATCCTGCCTACTATGATATTTTTATTTGTTCTTAAACATTTCAAAATGGTTTTAAGAAACTAGTATTGTTAGTATCAGGAAAGTTTTCTGATAGAGCTCAAAAGTAGCAAGAATAGTTACCAAGAGCCAAGAAAATTACTAATGCTAATAAGGATAACCAAAAAGCAGTAAAGGGGAATGAGCAAAGAGAAAGAGACAGGCACAAATTATACCCAAGAAGATGGAAGAAGAAGAAGTGTGCCCCCACATTCACTAAAAAAGTTTAGTGTCGACAGTCAGATTTGGTAATGTTAGGGTTTAGAAAGCAATACCCCAAAATATGGCTCTTTGGATGCTGAGTACTTCATTTGAACTAAGAAAACTGGAAAGCCTGATAAGCGGCCTCAGTGAAGGTCTCTCTGACCAACCCTTGTTTCTCTTCACAAGTGCAGGAAATGGCGCTCTCTCTCTCTCTCCAAGATGCCTTAACTGACAGAGGAGAATTCTTCCAAAAGAAACTCAACTGTCTTCAATCCCCTGTCTAAAATTTCATAAAACAGGGAATTTATCTAGATGACCATTACCACCTGGACAGACTTTTTTCTGAGACAAGGTCTCACTCTGTCACCCAGGCTGGGGTGCAGTGGCACAATCATGGCTCACTGCAGCCTTGCTCTGCCAGGCTCCAGGGATCCTCCTGCCTCAGCTCCCGGCCAAGCAGCTGAGACTATAGGCATGTGTAGTTAAGGTTGAAACATAATAAAAATCGCTCCTTGGATGGGCACGGTGGCTCACACCTGTAATTCTAGCACTCTGGGAGGCCGAGGTGGGTGGATCACGTGAGGTCAGGAGTTCAAGACCAGCCTGGCCAACATAGTGAAACCCTGTCTCTACTAAAAATATAAAAAATTAGCCGGGCATGGTGGCGGGCACCTGTAGTCCCAGCTACTCGGGAGGCTGAGGCAGGAGAATGGCGTGAACCCGGGAGGCGGAGCTTGCAGTGAGCCGAGAACATGCCACTGCACTCCAGCCTGGGCAACAGAGCAAGACTCCGTCTCAAAAAAATAAAAAATAAAAAGATTAGCTGGGCGTGGTGGTGCACGCCTGTAGTCCCAGCTACTCAGGAGGCTGAGGCAGGAGAATCACTTGAATCTGGGAGACAAAGGTTGCAGTGAGCCAAGACCGTGCCACTGCACTCCAGACCGGGCAACAGAGCAAGACTCCACTCAAAAAAAAAAAAAAAAACTCATTTGTATGGACTCAACAAGGAGACTCTTAAGTGACAGTGGCACTGTTTTTTTAATTGCAAATGCATGGTGAAAATATAATGCTAGTATAATTTGGTACCACTACCTTGAATCATGATAAAATGCTAGTAGCTCTACCCACCATCACTTTTGCAAATGTCAAAACAATAAAAAAGAAAAAAAAACATCGGCCGGGTATGGTGGCTCATGCCTGTAATCCGAGCACTTCGGGAGGCCAAGGCAGGCGGATCACAAGGTCAGGAGTTCGAGACCAGCCCAGCCAATATGATGAAACCATGTCTCTACTAAAAATACAAAAAAATTAGCCGGCATGATGGCGCGTGCCTGTAATCCCAGCTACTCGAGAGGCTGAGGCAGGAGAATTGCTTGAACCTGGGAGGTGGAGGTTGCAGTGAGCCAGGATCACACCATTGCACTCCAGCCTAGGCGAAAGAGTGAGACTCCATCTCAAAAAAAAAAAAAAAAAAAAACACACACAAGAAAAAAAAACTTAGTATTATCATCAAAAGAATTTTTGACCTCACAGAACCCCAGGAAGTGCCTCAAAGCCATTAAAAATCCAGAAACCATACTTTTAGCACCTTTGATCTAAAACAATATTTTCCAAACTATGGGATCCATGTATGAACAGGACAGGATGCTACAGCCAATTCTCTACCCAAACAGAGCATCTATGAATTACATCCAATTTTGTCTGCTTATGCTGAATTCCCATCTAAGACTTTATTTGAAGAAATGGTGGACTTTGTAGCTCAAACAGTCTAAAAACCATAGACATTCCTTATCAGAGGACTCCTACAAGGTCCATGTGCTTGAATAAAGTTACACAGAGATACCAATACCTTGTCTATCAGATCTCGGTTGACACAGTTGGGTAACTGCTGTAGGAAAGCATCTACTATGAGCTTGAGATGAGATCCAGTGCTGGCTTCCTCATCTTCTTGTTCTAATGTAAAATTAGTTTTTAAATAGGTTAAAAAAAAAAGAGAACACAGAATAAAAACATCCAATGATGAATTATTTGGAAAATAGATAATCTAGACCAATTTTTGTGCCCAGGAAAACATTAGTCATTTTTTAGAATATTATCCTAGAAAGTTTAGGTAACTCTAGAATCATAACATCAATTCACTACAGTCCTTCAGGTATCAACTATAAAAGTCAAACTTTTTGCATTAGGCACAAAAACTTGGTCAGAAAAAGCATGCAGTGTTATGGTAAATGTTATTGGTGTCTGCCCAGCATCCCTTCCCCCATGTTCTTCCATTAACAGCACTCCCAATTCTTGCCTTTGAAGAACTAAGCCTCCCTATTTCATGTAATTCTAAGGAGGGTGGCTGGTTTACATAGAGAAAGAATCTGCAGTAAGATAGGGTAAAGCCAACAGAGAGAAAAGCAATATTGACAGAAGGTATCCTTCTAATAAAGAATCTTGGCCAGGTGTGATGGCTCATGCCTATAATGCCAGGGCCTTGGGAGGCTGAGGCAGGGGGATCACTTGAGGCCAGGAGTCCAAGACCAGTCTGGGTAACATAACAAGACCCTGTCTCTAAAAAATATAAAATAAAATAAAACAAAATAAAATAAAGTAAAATAAGCTGGGTGTGGTGGTGCACGTCTACAGTCCCAGCTACTTGGAGGTTGATGCAGGAGGATGACTTGAGCTCGGGAGTTTGAGGCTGCAGTCAATTATGATCATGCCATGGCACTCCAGCCTGGGCAAGAGTGAAACCCTGTCTCAAAAAAGTAAATAAATAAAGGAATCCTAGCTAATCAACTCAAAACTCGATAAGAAGCATTTAGGGAATAAATGTAATATTTGTATTACTGAATACAAACACAACTCAATTATAAAGACAGACAAAATTAACAGATGAACTGATAAGCTAGTCATATTCCCACCTAGTAATCATTTCAGAATAACTTTCAAATACATTTATGTTGTTTGTAAAGATTATGTCATAGAATTAAATCAATCAGGAGAATGCTATCAAGTTCTCAGAAAAGTGTAAGTATCTTTATTCTATCACAGAAGGGGTAGCGAGAAAAGTATATTTTAAGATATTTAGGGCCGGGTGCGGTGGCTCATGCCTGTAATCCCAGCAGTTTGGGAGCCAAGGCGGGCGGATCACCTGAGGTCAGGAGTTCGAGACAAGCCTGGCCAACATGGTGAAACCCCATCTCTACTAAAAATACAAAAATTAGCTGGGCATGGTGGCAGGCAGCTGTAATCCCAGCTACTTGGGAGGCTGAGGCAGGAGAATTGCTTGAACCCAGGAGGCAGAAGTTGCAGTGAGCCAAGATCGTACCATTGCATTCCAGCCTGGAGGACAAGAGTGAGACTTAGTTTCAGAAAAAAAAATAAAATAAAAAATATTATTTAGAACTAAGGTATTTAAAATTTAGATGATCATTAAAGTTTGTAGACACACAATACTGGGTATGTAGTGTCCTGTTATAAATCAAATTCTGAAAACAGTGATGGACTGAAAACAACAGAAAAACAAGGAATTAAAAAATACAGAATTAAGGAGAAAAGATCTATATTCTTAGGCAAGAGCTCTGTGTGTAAAAACCAATTAAAAATGAAAGTTGGTAAATTAGTTCTTTACCTTGTTCATCAAGAAGTTTCTTTGTAAGATCTTCAGCTTCATCTCCACCCTCTAATTCTAAGGTGTCATCATTAATTTCTAGATTCTCCAACTCAAGTTCCAAATCATCGGGACTTGATACCTCCTTATTCTCCTTAGATTCTTTTGCCTCTGTTGAAAAACAAACAAGTATACCTAAATTCAAAGTCATATGAAAATCCTGCTGCACAAAAGTAGATTAAGACTCACAAAATCTGCAGGTTCTTTTAGAAGCTGCATGTATACCTGGCAACTGAAGTTAATATATTTAGATTTTATAAAACACATTATGCTCGGCTGGGCATGATGGCTCACCCCTGTAATCCCAGCACTTTGGGAGGCCGAGGAGGGAGGATCACCTGAGGTCAGGAGTTTGAGACCAGCCTGACCAACATGGTGAAACCCCATCTCTACTAAAAATACAAAAATTAACTGGGCATGGTGGCACATGTCTGTAATCCCAGCTACTCAGGAGGCTGAGGCAGGAGAATTGCTTGAACCCAGGAGGTGGAGACTGCAGTGAGCCGAGAGAGCACCACTGCACTTGAGCCTGAGCAAAAAGGGCGAAACTAAGTCTCAAAAAAATATATACATTATGCTCATTGAGAACGAAGGCTATATCTTCTCTGATTATGTATACCATTTGTTAACTGAAGAGATGGATGGATGACTGGATGGAGAGAGATTGTGTGGATGAGGACTTACATGGCGTGAGGATCTATCTATGCTAAAGATGAGGGGGAAAAAAGGCTGATTAAAGTGGACTCACATTAAAAAGCGTCTCAAACTCCCAGATGAGGAGTTGAGACTTTCTCCTTTATGCAAGGGATAATATTTAAAAGGGATCTGATGTGAAAATTAACTTAGCAGCAATATATAAAATCAATTAGAAAGTCAGAAAAGGGTAGATGTAGAAAGACCAATTAGGAAAATATCCTTATCATTTCAATGTGAAGGGTTAGAGAAAACCAAAAAATGAAACACAACAAAGGAAAATGGCCAGTAACTGGTAAAAGGCAAAATTGGAAGAATAAAAAAGAAGAGAAACCAAACCTTAGCTAAATAAAACTGACAAAATATTAATAACTGAAGTTGAGTGATAGGTAAATCCAAGTTCACTATACCAGCCTTCTTTTGTGTTTTCGCAAATCAAATAAAATTCTCGTAAATAAAAAACAAAAGCCAATAAAACCTGAGTTCAGGAATGTATACTTAAATTGAAAGTATGGTATTTCTCAGCTTCATCTCTTATAGTCTCTAATCTCCTAATTTATGCATTGAACACAGAAATGTCTTACTGATACTTGATGTCATATCTTATTTGGGAGGATGAAAACTCTAACTAGTATGAATCAGTTTTGCTACCTCTAGATGAAAACAGACTTCTACTTTCTCATTCATTCATCTTTTCATTCTACTTTTATTGAATTCCTACTATGTGCTAGGTATTGTTCTAAGCACCAGGAATATACCTGTGAGTACAGCAGAGAAAAACTCCTGCCCACATGGAGCATGCAGTCACTCCCCAATGTCCCCTGATGTCTGGCTACTAAAACATCTACTAATCAGCTACATGTTCAGAATGACGCTAAGCTGTCAAACATTCTGAAAAAAGCTTAAAATGTGACCCTTGCTCTCAAAAAACATACAATTTATCTGAGGAAATTAAACTAATATGCATAAGGTAGTCAAATAGGGTATGGTGGGAGAGGGTTCCAACCAGAAAACAGAACAATGCAGGAAGGCAAGAAGGCAAGAAGATGGGCCCATTTCAGAGACTGAGAAGGATGGCAAATTAAGGGTAATAGAGTTGTAATGGCAAACCTGAGAGAAACTATGCAGGGTCCTAGAGACAATGTTAACAATTTTAAATTATATTCCAAGTACATGTAAAGTTATTCAAGGACATCAGGTAGGCAGGAGAGTAAAATTAACGTTTAGGAATGCATAGGCTGAGCGCGGTGGCTCACGCCTGTAATCCCAGCACTTTGGGAAGCTGAGGCAGGTGGATCACTTGAAGTCAGGAGTTCAAGACCAGCCTGACCAACATGGTGAAACCCCATCTCTACTAAAAATACAAAATTAGCCAGGCATGGCAGCACACTTCTGTAATCCCAGTTACTTGGGAGGCTAAAGCAGGAGAATCACTTGCACCTGGGAAGCGTAGGTTGCAGTGAGCTGAGACCACATGACTGCACTCCAGCCTGGACAAGAGCAAAAACTCCGCCTCAAAAAAAAAAAAAAAAAAAAAGAATGCATAGAAGGAAACAGCAAATACAGGGCAACCAGGTAGGAGGTATTACAGTAACCCGGGTGAGAGAGGATGGGAGTTAGATTAGAATAGCAGCAGCAAATGTAAGACAAACCTGAGAAACACAATGTAACCGGCATTCAGAAACTCCCACTCTATTAACGACCTAAAAGCTCTGACTTCTCTAAAGTCACTCTTCTTCTCAAAGAGTTGGTTCTATCTAGCCTAGAAAGGGCAGTACAGGTAATGAGCATCATAGAGCTAACACCTGCCCTAACAATCTGATACCTGGGGGAAATGTGCATCTTACCAAGACCTCACTTGAATTCACTACAAGACATTATAAACAAACACTTTCCAATTAATTCACATTAACTTAAATGTATCAGCACTGTTAAAAGTATGTCAATTATCATCCTTTAATGCTCCATCATTCCATATAATTCTGTCACTCATTTACTCTAATGACTCAATGTTCATATTACAAAACTAGTAACTACAATATATATATTTTTTTTTTACAAATACTATTTTGAAGCTAATTCTTATAGCACTTAATGTAAATATTTTTTCTCTAGAATTTACCTTTGGTATCATCTTTGTTGGACTCTTTATTCTGACAACTTTTTTCATTGTCTTTAAACAAGATGGCTGGGACAAAAGCCTTCAAATCAATGAGGTTCTCATAAAAATTCCGAGCATCTTCATCTTCCCATATACCACCTTCCAAGTCATATTCTCCAGGTTTACCAGGTGTGAATATATCAATTCCAGGCCCATGTTCTACAATAAAATAAATCACAAGTAATTAACATAACTTGAGGTTATAGCATGATAAACATGACATAAGTTATTTTTTCAGTTTTACATCTATTGAATCTTGAGTGTTTCAACTGACAGGAACTTCTTCAATTAACAAGCACATGTGACCGTTTTCAACACCAAATCACAAACTGTGTTTTAAATAAAGCCCTAAAATAAAACAGACTAGAGAACAACATAAAGATTTTTTTCTCTTACATTTGTTTTAAGCAATTAATATGAGATTAAGTAGCCATTTGATAAATTAGGTCTACTTTCATGAAACTTAAAATCAAAAAATAAAATATATAAGCCTGGCCACTCCTAAGACATCCGTTTAAAGTCCCACCTCCCCCATGAGTATTTTTTTTTTTTTTGGCAACTCATAATCCTCTATACTATTTACATCATACTTATATACCATTTATATCTCCAAAAACAGACCATAAACCTTTACTTAAGAAGCATCCCTCCTTTTGGCATAATCCTTGGCACATGGTAGATTGCCACTGTCAACCTAAAATAATCAAAAAGGTCAGAATCTAGTTTTAAAGAGAGTTTATTCAATTGCAAAGTTTGAGGACAGCCTCCCAGGAAGCAGAGATTCTAAAGAACAGAAGTCAGTGTTCCAAAGGGTAGAAGTTTGAGATTGTTTATACAGAGAAAGTTTAGGTAATTTCAACATCTTTCCTCATAAGGTTTAATGCACAGTTACAACAACCTGATTAGTAGAAGTCGTCTTTTTTGGGAAAGATACATACTGGTTATGTAGTTCAGTCTCCAAGGCTTAATTTCCCCCTTGCTATAATAAATTTAGAGGGTCCTGAAATTTTATTTTTTTTAAACAGAGTTTTACTCTGTCACCCAGGCTGGAGTACAATGGCGCAACATCAGCTCACTGCAACCTCCACCTCCCAGCTTCAAGTAATTCTCCTGCCTCAGCCTCCCAAGTAGCTGGGATTACAGGCGCCCGCCACCACACTTGGCTACTTTTTTGTTATTTTTAGTAGAGATGGGGTTTCGCCATGTTGGCCAGGTTGGTCTCAAACTCCTGACTTCAGGTGATCCACCTGCCTCAGCCTCCCAAAGTGCTGGGATTACAGGCGTGAGCCACCACGCCCAGCGTTTATTTATTATTTATTTTTTTGAATTGAGACAGGGTCTCACTCTGCTGCCAAGGCTGGCGTGCAGTGACATGATCATAGCTTACTGTAGCCTCGAAATCCTGGGCTCATGCAATCCTCCTGCCTCAACCTCCTGAGTAGCTGGGACTACAGGCATGCGTCATCAAGCCCAGCTAATTTTTCCATTTTTAGTAGAGATGGGGTTTCATTATGTTGCCTAGGCTGGTCTCAAACTCCTAAGTTCAGGGGATCCACCTGCCTCAGCCTCTCAAAGTGCTGGGATTACAGGCATGCGTGACCACGCTCAGCCTTTATTTTCTTTTATGCCATAAATGTCAGTCAATTGATAACTGGAAAAGAAGGGAAGAAAGATGAAGCGTACAGATCTCTTATTAGAGAATGGAAAGTATGTACCTATTTACACACATGCAGTACATACAACTATAGATCATAAACTCAGAACACTGAAAGTAATTAACTTCCTACTTTATGATTATGAGCCCATTCATGAACTTATCTACTCTCACATACTTCTCTCCAAATGAGAATTATAAATAGATTATGTAAATTAAAATTAACCGTAAGTTAGATTATTCATTAAATGTGATTTATGAAAATAAGAACACCAAAAACAAAAAAAACACTGGCTCCTCGAAACTCCTTACTTTCCTTACAGAAAATATATTTAAACACAGACTTATTAGGACACTAAACCCATACACCAAAAAGAAAAACACTGACATATTTACAACTTCTGTTTAATGAAAAGTATAAACAAAAGCAAAAAACAAACTGGAAGACAATATTGACAATATTTAAAGAATACATCCATAATATATAGAGCATAGTATAATGAATATATTTGGTGTTTGTCCTTGGTTCCTGGCAGACCTCCTAAAACCCTTAGAATTTCCTGAGTGAAAGGAATGTATTTTGTTATTCATAACAAGCTTTTTGATCCTACCTCAGCTGATGCTAATGAGGTGACTTAGGGTGGAGTCTCTGGATGGTCTCTACGATGGAGCCAAGTCACCAGAAAGACCGAGTGATTACAGGCTTAGAACTTTCAGCCCCACTCACCCACCCATCTGTGAAGCAGAGTCCTCGCCAGACACCAACTTGGCTGGCACCTTGATCTTAGACTTCCCAGACTCCAGACAGAGGAACAAGTTTCTGTTGTTCATAAGTTGCCCGGTCTAGGGTATTTTGTTACAGCAGCCTGAAAAGACTAAGACAACTATGTAATATTAATCAGGTGTTAAAAGGAATGAGATGTATCTACAAGAACTGACTCAGAAAGCTCTCAAAAATAATAATTGAAACAATAAAGGAAATCATGCAAAATATCTCACCTAAGTTAATGAAGCTAGAGATATCTGATTATATATATTTTCTGGAAAAAAGTAAAGTCTGGACACATTACTATCAAGCTGTTAAGAGTGGTTACCTTGGAGAATGTAATGCATCTGACAGTAAACTTTCACTTTTTAATCTATAATATGCATAAATATTTTGTGTATCTAAAAAATAATGTAAATCATAAAAAAGAAATTCAACTTTTGAGAGGTAAAAATACTACCAAATCAAAAGTAATAAAAAATAGGAATATCACAGGCACAGGACAAGAGAAAAACAGAGGAGTGATAGTTGCAATGCATATAAAAAATATAATTTCCGTCGGCCGGGCACAGTGGCTCACGCCTGTAATCCCAACACTTTGGGAGGCTGCGGCAGGTGGATAACGAGGTCAGGAGATCGAGACTATCCTAGCTAACACAGTGAAACCCCGTCTCTACTAAAAATACAAAAAAATTAGCCGGCCGTGGTGGCAGGCACCTGTAGTCCCAGCTACTCAGGAGACTGAGGCAGGAAAATGGTGTGAACCCGGGGAGCAGAGCTTGCAGTGAGCTGTGAACGCGCCACTGCACTCCAGCCTGGGCAACACAGCAAGGCGCCGTCTCAAAGTAATAATAATAATAATAATAATAATAATAATAATAATTTCCTTAATATACAAAGTGCTTTTTTTTTTTCTCTCTGACATGGAGTCTCGCTCTGTCACCCAGGCTGGAGTGCAATCTCAGCTCACTGCAACCTCTGCCTCCTGGGTTCAAGCAATTGTCTCACTTCAGTCTCCCAAGTAGCTGGGATTACAGGCGCACTCCACAATACCCAGCTAACTTTTGTATTTTTTGTAGGGATGGGGTTTCACCATGTTGGCCAGGCTGGTCTAGAACTCCTGACCTCAAGTGCTCCACTCACCTCAGCCTCCCAAGTGCTTTTATAAATCAATTTTTTAAAAAGATACAAGGGGAAAAAGGACAGGGGGTGGGGGTATAAAAGATTCAAATAGGAATTTCACAGGGAAAATAATACATTTATAAAACAGCCAATAAACTTAAAGATGCTAAAACCTGACTTCAAATTTAAAAATTAAGAACTGCAATGTGGTAAGAGTGTAAAGAAACAGTCATTCTCAGGCCAGGCGCAGTGGCTCATACCTGTAATCCTAGCACCTGGGGAGGCCGAGGTGGGCAGATCACGAGGTCAGGAGATTGAGACCATCCTGGCTAACATAGTGAAACCCTATCTCTACTAAAAATACAAAAAATTAGCCAGGCATGGTGACACATGCCTGTAGTCCCAGCTGCTCAGGAGGCTGAGGCAGGAGAATCGCTTGAACCCGGGAGGCGGAGCTTGCAGTGAGCTTAGATCGCACCACTGTACTCCAGCCTGGGTGACAGAGCAAGACACCACCTCAAAAAAAAAAAAAAAAAAAAAAGAAACATTCATTCTCATACACTTAGTGGCATGTAAATTTTTTTTTTTAAGTTCCAAGATACATGTGCAGAATGTGCAGGTGTGTTACATAGGTATACATGTTCCATGGTGGTTTGCTGCACTTACCAACCCGTCACCTAGGTTTTAAGTCCCGCATGCATTAGGTATTTGTCCTAATGCTCTCCCTCCCCTTACCCCCAACCTCCCAACAGGCCCCAGTGTGTGTTGTTCCCCTCCCTGTGTCCATGTGTTCTCACTGTTCAACTCCCACTTATGAGTGAGAACATGTGGTATTTGGTTTTTTTCCTATGTTAGTTTGCTGAGAATGATGGCTTCCAGCTTCATCCATGTCCCTGCAAAGGACATGAACTCACTCTTTTTTATGGCTGCATAGTATTCCATGGTGTATATGTACCACATTTTCTCTATCTAGTGTATTATTGATGGGCATTTGGGTTGCTGTAAATTTCTTTAATAGAAAATATGGCATCATATATTGAAACTTAAAATGCATATATCCTTTTAACCCAAGAATTCTACTTCTAGAAATGTATCCTGTAAATACTAGCATATATACAGAAAGAAGCAGGTTCAGAGATTTTGTTACAGCACTGACAATAATAGCTAAAAGCCAGAAATATTAAGTGTTAATCAACAGAGGACAAGTAAATTACAGAACAACCATACAAAAGGATATTACTATGTAGCAATTAAAAATAATTAGATGGCACTAATGTATTAAAATGAAAAAAATCTAAGACATGATTAACTGGAAAAAGTGGCTATAGAATAAAGGATATTCTGATCACTGGACAATGTAAGCCTCTTCTGCACAAGGTGAAGTACTATATCAGTGACCCAAAATAACTAAAGATTCAAGCAAACAATATTAAAACAATGATTTTCAAACACTGGACATCAGGCAGTATAGGAAAATAATCCCTGATAGGGAGCAGACGAAAAACTCAGCTCTACAATTGCCCCAGCTTACTTCATAAAGAGATTTTTCCAGGCTGTGGCCAAGTAAGAGAGAAGCCAGGCAGTCTCCCTGAGTTGAGGATGAGAGCTGAGGGTCTGGTAATACTCTACCCAAGGTAGGCAGAGTTCCCAGGACACAGTACCAGAGAGGAGAAACCAGCACAAAGATAAACTTCAAAACATTTGCAGAGTCTCCTTGAACATTCAGCTGAGTACTGATCAGCTCCTATGTATAAGGAAACAAAATGTTCACCTGAGTACTGATCAGCCTCTATGTGTGAGGAAACTAGGTGAGACTGGGAAAATAACTACTGAAAAGAATTAAGACTCACAGAGAGGCTCATGGGACCAGGAATAGTCTGTATACCCACAAGGCTGACTGGAAGAATCTTCTATGACTCTACTTTATCAGAAAAAGTCCAGAAAGATACTGCCTCAGTATTAGGAAAAATTAGCTTTAGATTAAAGGCTGCTCTGGTACCTCCTAACAAAGCATCCTTTCAAAGATGAAACTATTTCCAAGTAACTTAACTGCAACCCAGGATGACGCTTAATGATATTTATAAGAATACAAAAATATCCAGGACACATCCAATAAAACATAAGCGGGCAGCCAAAGAAGTAGAAAAATGACCAGACATGCAAAGGAGGTCAAGCAACTGCAATCAATTGAAACCAACTCGGAAATCACACAGATGACAAGATTTGTAGACAAGGACTTTAAAACAGTTATTGTAACTGTATTTCATATGTTCAACAAGCTACAAGATTGAACATGTCAGATACAAAGAAAATATGACAAGACATAGATATAAAAAATGACTTCTCTAAATGGAATTAAGTTATTAGACACCGTAGAAGAAAAGATTAGTGAACTTGAAGACATAACAACAGAAACTATCCAAAAGGAAAGGCAGGAAAAAATAACGAAGAACAAAAAGGAAAGGACATCAATGAACTGTGGGACAACTGAACAACCTAAAATACTTGTAATTGAGTCCCTATAGGAGAGGTGACGAAGAAGGAAAGAGAAAACACAATTGAAAAATAAAGGTCAAGATTTTCCTAATTTGATGATAACTATACACCCACAGATCTAAGAAGTTCAAGGAACCCGAAGTACAAGAAACGAAGAAAACCACACCAAGCTACACCATAACTAATGCTTGAAATCAGCGATAATGAAAAAATTTTAAAACAATGAGAGAAAAAAATATAGATTATATAAATAAGAACAAAGGTCAGAAAGGTAGGAGCATTCTTGATGGAACAATGCAAGCTAGAAGACAGAGGAGTAACATCTTTAAAGTACTGAAAGAAAAAAAAACTCTTGCCCTTAAGTTCTATGTCTGAAAAAAAAATTTTTTTTAAGAGATAGAGTCTCACTCTATCACCCAGGCTGGAGTGCCTGGTGTGATCATTATCTAACTGTAACCTTGAACATCTGGGCTCATGCAATCTTCCCACCTCAGCCTCCCAAGTAGCTAGGACTACAGGCTTGTGCCACATGACTGGCTAAATTTGTTTTATTTTTTAAAATTTTTTGTAGAGACAGGGTCTCGCTATGTTACCCAGGCTAGTCTCAAACTCGCCTCAAGCAATCCTCCTGCCTTGGCCTCCCAAAGCCCTGGTATTACAGGCATAAGCCATCATGCCGGGCCAAAAAGATCTTTTAAAAACAATGACAGGGCTGGGCACAGTGGCTCATGCCTGTAATCCCAGCACTTGGGGAGGGTGAGGCAGGCAGATCACTTGAGCTCAAAGTTCGAGACCAGCCTGACCAACATGGTGAAACCCCATCTCTACTAAAAATGCAAAAATTAGCTGGGCTTGGTGGCGCATATCTGTAGTCCCAGTTATTGCTTGGGAGGCTGAGGCACAAGAGTTGCTTAAACCTGGGATGCAGAGGTTGCAGTGAGCCGGGACTGCACCATCGCATTCCAGCCTGTCTCCAAAAATAAAAATAAAAACAATGACAGAATTTTTTCAAGGTCTATTAATTCTGGAAAATGTCTAAAAATACATTTAAAGTCATGACAGGGCGCAGTGGCTCACACCTGTAATCCCAGCACTTTGGGAGGCTGAGACGGACAGATCACCTGAGGTTGGGAGTTCGAGACCAGCCTGACCAACATGGAGAAACCCTGTCTCTACTAAAAATACAAAATTAGCCGGGTGTAGTGGCACATGCCTGTAATCCCAGCTACTCAGGAGGCTGAGGCAGGAGAATTGCTTGAACCTGGGAGGCAGAAGTTGCAGTGAGCCGAGATCGCGCCTTTGCACTCCAGCCTGGGCAGCAAGAGCGAAACTCTGTCTCAAAAATAATAATAATAATAATAAATTTAAAGTCATTTAAAATGAAAAGAAAAATTAGCTTAAATTTCAGTATGACAATTAGAGAAAAGGGGTAAAGAAACCACCTAAATCAATACCCAAGTATGCTAAATGTTTTTTTTTTTTGAGACGGAGTCTTGCCCAGGCTGGAGTGCAATGGCGCGAGCCTGGCTCTCTGTAACCTCCGCCTCCCAGGTTCAAGCCATTCTCCTGCCTCAGCCTCCTGAGTAGCTGGGATTACAGGCGCACACCACCATGCCCAGCTAGCTTTTGTATCTTTAGTAGAGACACGGTTTCACCATGTTGCGCCAAGCTGTTCTCGAACTCCTGACCTCATGATCCACCTGCCCTGGCCTCCCAAAGTGCTGGGATTAGAGGCGTGAGCCACCGCACCCAGCCATATGCTAAATATTATAAAGAGATTTTGGTTCTAAAATATCTTAACAAATATACTGAGAAAGTTCTGAGAAACAAGCCAGGGTCAACCAAAACACAAATTCTATGATGAAACTTTTTTAAAACATTTAAAAAGTTTGGCCAGGCACAGTGGCTCACGCCTGTTATCTCAGCACATTGGGAGGCCGAGGTGTACCTCGGCCCACAGCCAATTCTCAATCATGAGGTCAGGAGATCGAGATCATCCTGGCTAACATGGTGAAACCCCGTCTCTACTAAAAACACAAAAACTTAGGTGGGCGTGGTGGTGGGTGCCTGTAGTCCCAGCTATTCGGGAGGCTGAGGCAGAAGAATGGCCTGAACCTGGGAGGCGGAGCTTGCAGTGAGCAGAGACCGCACCACTGCATTCCAGCCTGGGCAACAGAGCAAGACTCCGCCAAAAAAAAAAAAAAAAACATTTAAAAAGTTTGAGAATGAGCTTTGAGATATTGAATAAGAGCCTGGGTGCAGTGGCTCACACCTATAATCTCAGCACTTTGGGAGGCCAAGGCAGGAGGACTGCTTGAGCTAAGGAGTTTGAGACCAGCCTGAGAAACATGGTAAAACCTTGCCTCTAATTAGCCAGACATGGTGGTGCACACCTGCAGTCCCAGCTACTTGGGAGACTGACGCAGGAGACTCATTTGAGCCCAAGAGGCAGAGGCTGCAGTGAGCCGAGATTGTGCCACTGCACTCCAGCCTGAGCGACAGAGCAAGACTCTGTCTCAAAAAAAAAAAAGTGTAAGAATTATGTACATTATTATATATAAATACAATAAATGCATTCACAGTATACAATAGGTATTTCTTACTGAGGATATTAAATATAAATTTTTCTTTAATTATAGAAGGATATTTTACAAATACTTCACCCCTAAAATTTTTTTTTTTTTTTTTGAGACAGGGTCTCACTCTGTCATCCAGGCTGGAGTGCAGTGGCACAATCTCGGCTCACTGCAACTTCTGCCTGCCAGGTTCACGCAATTCTCCTGCCTCAGCCTCCCAAGTAGCTGGGACTACAGGCACGTGCCACCACACCCAGCTAATTTTTGTATTTTTAGTAGAGATGGCGTTTCAATGTTGGTCAGGCTGGTCTTGAACTCCTGACCTTGTGATCCTCCCGCCTCGGCCTCCCAAAGTGCTAGGATTACAGGCATGAGCCACTGCGCCCGGCCACCCTTAAGATTTCTAAGTAAACAGAATTGCCAGGAAATTCAAAGATATCTATCTATTACACAAGAACCTGAATGAACTCATCATATTATCATGAGTTATTATTTTCTAGGTCCAGAGACTCTTCCATTCAGGGATCATTTCAAATAGCTTTTCAAGGTTATCAATAGGTTTTAATACCATTTCTTTATTTAAGAAAAGTTTTTTTTAATAGAGATGGGGTCTCACTATGTTGCCCAGGCTGCTATCAAACTCCTGGTCTCAAGCGATCCTCTTACCTTGGATTCCCAAAGTGTTGAGGTTACAGGCATGAGCCACCATGCTTGGCCCATTTTGAAAATGTTGACGCCATTTTAAAAACTTAAATTCTCAATACTGCACATCTGATAAGCCTAAAGGTAAGTGACAGTGCTTACAGAAAACACAATGTTTGTTTTTAAGGATATCTCTTACCTTCTGGTGTTGGTTTGTCTTGAGGAAGATCTGGCATATTTTCATCCAAAAGGTCTGCTAAGGATTGAGAATTTGCCAGCAGCTTCTGGTAAGACATAGCAAATTCCTCATACTGTTTATGTCTATCTTCACTGAGCTCCCCTTTAGAATGTAGAATGCGCCTATAAACAAATGAAATCATCTGACAGTCTTATCAAAATAGATGTGATCACAAATTGTTATATATGGGAAACATTCCATAATTTGATTTTCTCATACAAATTTAGTAAAATCTTCATTTTTATTTAACATTTGAATCTAGTATTTTCAAAATGTATCTGAAATGTATAATGAAATTCACCTGAACATTTAAATTTTAACACTGGTTCCTCAAAGAATATGCAGCATGCTTGCTGAAATACAATATTTAACAATATACATCTAAATAATTTTAAATTATTCAGTATTTTATTACAGTCACACTCTTCTCAGATATAGAGTTAACCAAAACTAGCACAACTACACAAGCCAATTTTCAAAAGAAACAGGTTATACAAAGAATCAATTATTCTTAAACCTCCATGATTTGAATCAGAAATATCATATTTAACAATATATCACAAAATAATCAAAAATTATTTGGTTTTTTATTACTGTCATACTCCCCTCAGACATACAGAACTAACCAAAAATATTTAACACAACTACACAACTCAGTTTTCAAAACCAACAGATTTTGAATAGGTTCAAAAGAAACAGAATCAGTTATCCTTAAACTTCCATAATGATTTGAATCAAGATTATCTTTTGAAAAAGCCCACAATCTTCCACACAGCCAATTCTCAATCTACTGTGCAAGTACTGGTTATTTATCCAGGTAACAAATACTGAGAAGTCCACTCACTCAGGCCAGCCCTTATCAAGGAACTAAGGACATAACCACTCTTCCACTTTGCAAGAATACACCAATAAGCCCCTAACTACAAATGCAAAACTACTGAAAACACCAAAATGTATAGAGTAAAAGTCTTATTATATTCGTATAAATCACTGAGAATTATATAGCTGGATCCAATTTTTTACATACAAAATATCCATGTGGTACTATAATATTTGAAATTTATAAACCATAATGCAAATACATTGTTTCAAAAAGTCAATTATAAATTATAAAAGTTATTTTTACAAGTAATACTTAGAAGTTTTTTATTTCTTGTTATTTGCGTTTTCTTACAAACAGTGAAGAAAACGAGGTTTTCTGTAATGCCATCTTCCATCTTCTAAAAGTTACAGAGAAAAAGGCAGAAAAATAATGCCTATACTTATTCTTCCCAGATTATTTGAAACAATGTCAAAACTTTCCCATTTTACCCTATTTCTACTCACATAAGCTTTTGTTTCAGTACTATAACAATTCGGCCAGGCATGGTGACTCACGCCTATAATCCCAGCACTCTGGGAGGACGAGGCAGGCGGATCACCTGAGGTCAGGAGTTTGAGACCAGCCTGGTCAACATGGCAAAACCTCGTCTCTACTAAAAATACAAAAGTTAGCCAGGTGCAGTGGCGGGCACCTGTAATCCCAGTTACTCAGGAGGCCGAGGCAGAAGAATCGCTTGAACCTGGGAGGCGGAGGTTGCAGTGAGCCGAGATCGTGCCACTGCACTCCAGCCTGGGTGACAGAGTCAGACTCTTGTCTCATAAATAAATAAATAAATAAATACTATAACAATTCAAGTAACAATATTTTCAATTTTCCGAATATTAGTTCCCATTACAAGTGCATCAGTGCATAGATTCATGAAATCCAGTTATTTCCTCTTTTCAAATCTGGTCTATTAGGGTCTAAAATGAGAAATTTCATTTTCTTATTATTTAAATATATATTAGATATCATTCTACCAACACATTAGTAAAATGTTGAAATAGTTTAACCATAATAAGCCAGGCTAAAAAGTGCTTCTCTAAAAATATTGTCATTAGAGAGCATGTTTCCCCCTCTTCAAACATGTGTTTCAGACTACTGTTACAAACACAAACAAAATTTTTTCAGTAATTTTGTGAATGAATTTTAAAAATTAAAACAAAAACCCATAGCATTTTAACATACTCATACCTATGAAAGACACAACATTAGCACTCTGAGCTTGTTAAAACTTTTAATCAGAAGTTCTAATAGAACTCATTTTGGAAGTGAAAAGTCATTTAAAAAAAATTTTTTTTAATTTACTTTTATTTTTTGTAGAGACGGGAGTCTGGCTATGTTGGCCAAGCTGGTCTCAAACTCCTGGCCTCAAGCAATCCTCCCACCTCAAACTCCCAAAATGTTGGGATTACAGGTGTGAGCCACCACACTCGGCCAAAATTAAATAAAATACTCGAATAAGTAATGCTCAGAAGTAGGTTACTTAGGCTGGGCGCGGTGGCTCACGCCTGTAATCCCAGAACTTTGGAAGGCCGAGGTGGGAGGATCACAAGGTCAGGAGTTTGAGACCAGCCTGGCCAATATGGTGAAACTCTGTCTCTACTAAAAATACAAAAATTAGCCGGGTGTGGTGGTAGGTGCCTGTAATCCCAGCTACTTGGGAGGCTAAGCCAGGAGAATCACTTGAACCCGGGAGGCAGAGGTTGCAGTGAGCCAAGATTGCACCACTGTACTCCAGCCTGGGCGACAGAGCAAGACTGTCTAAAAAAAAAAAGAAAAAGAAGTAAGTTACTTAAAAATATCTGCAATGTAGGGCCGGGCACGGTGGTTCACGCCTATAATCCCAGCACTTTGGGAGGCCGAGGCAGGCGGATCACCTGAGGTGAGGAGTTCAAGATCAGCCTGGCCCATGGTGAAAACTCGTCTCTACAAAAACATAAAAATTAGCCGGGCACGATGGTGGGTGCCTGTAATCCTAGCTCCTTGGGAGGCTGAGGCAGGAGAATCATTTGAACTCGGAAGGCAGAGGTTGCAGTGAGCTGAGATTGCACCATTGCACTCCAGCCTGAGCAACAGAGCGAGACTCCATCTCGGAAAAAAAAAAAAAAAAATCTTCAATGTATTAAGAAAAATGTTAACAGGTAAAAATTGAAGAGTTTATTCCATGGCACTTTAGTCTGAAAAAAAATTAAAGAACAAAAACCGAAGAGTTTATTCTGAAGCAAATTATATTAAAGGGATAATACTGGTTCTAAGAGATTTCAAAACCCCTAATGACAATTACTATGCAACATTATTTCATACTTGAAAAGAAATCGGAAAATATATCTCAGAATAACATAACCCAAAACTTTAATTCTCTTAACAAGTTCTGACATTTTGGTCATCCAAAGAACAAACATCCAGTCCATTGAGATACATAATAATCACACTAAGGATTTCTAACATATAAGCAGTAGCAAGGTGATGACTACCTTATGAAAACAAAAATGAACAGTCCTTTTCCTCACTTTCACGTGTGGATTTGCCTGTGACTTTGCGCTGAGTCCATTAAAAGTGATTTCATTCTATGATGGTTCCCTGAGTCTGCTTTCCAGTTCCTCTCCAGTACTGCTGGAACCAACTAAAACTTTAAAGCTTCACTGATACTCCTTACCCTCCCCTTAATTCCATGATCAAATGCATTAACAGCACTAACTTACCTAACTAATGAGTGTGTACTTAAGTTACTATTCAGTGAGAATAGTCCTCAAGAAAAGTTTAGATTTGGGGTTTTGTTTGTTCGTTTTATAGCTCCATAAGCCTTTTACTCCCATTTTTTTATTATTATTATACTTTAAGTTCTGGGATACATGTGCAAAACGTGCAGGTTTGTTACATAGGTATACACGTGCCATGGTGGTTTGCTGCACCCATCAACCTGTCATCTACGTTAGGTATTTCTCCTAATGTTATCCCTCCCCTGGCCCTCCAACCCCCAGATTTTTTCTTTTGTTTTGTTTTGTTTTTAATGATGTCTTACACCGAGCACTTGGTTAGCAGGACAGAATGCCAATTAATACAGTATGACTTCTGTTATATATAAAACTGACATATGTAGCCATATATCCTTTCTTTGACATCTAAGTAATACACATTTACTGAACTGACTAAATCCACAGCATGCAGTAAGACAATATACAGACAAAGCAGAGAAATAACTCATTATAGTGCCTGAACATTTAAAAACCTAAGGATCGGCCAGGCACAGCGGCTAACGCCTGTAATCCTAGCACTTTGGGAGGCCAAGGAGGGCCGATTGCTTGAGCCAACAAGTCCGAGACCAACCTGGGCAGCATGGTGAAACTCCATCTTTACAAAAAATACAAAAATTGGCCAGGTGCTATGGCTCACACCTGTAATCCCAACACTTTGGGAGGCTGAGGCGGGTGGACCACAAAGTCAGGAGTTCAAGATCACCCTGACCAACACGGTGAAACTCCATCTCTGCTAAAAATACAAAAATTAGCCAGGCATGGTGGCATGCACCTGTAATCCCAGCTACTCAGGAGGCTGAGGTAGGAGAATCACTTGAATCCGGGAGGCAAAGGTTGCAGTGAGCCAAGACCGCACCACTGCACTCTAGCCTGGGGGACAGAGCAAGACTCCATCTCAAAAACAAAAAAAAAACAAAAATTAGTTGGATGCGGTGGTGGGCACCTACAGTCCTAGCTACTCAGGAGGTTGAGGTGGGAGGATCACCTGAACCCAGGAGGTCGAGGCTGCAGTAAGCCGTGACCGTGCCACTGTGCTGCAGCCTGGGTGACAGAGTGAGACCCTGCCTCAAAAAATAAATGAATAAATAAATAAACCCAAGGATCCTTTAGAAATTCTAATGAAATTAAACATGTTTAAATGTAGGTACTAAAAATGTCAGGGTATTTTTTGTAACTTTATGCAACTCACAGGAAAAGGTTTTCAGTTTAATTGTTTTTGAAAACCCACTTGAGGGAACTAAATATTACACAACACATCTGACCAACAAGTATCTCTGCTTTACATCAATGTTATCAAAAAATATGACCAAAATTTCTCATGTGAATTCCATGGGAATGTATCACTGAAAATATAACCAAAATCAAGCTGAAAATATGATTTCATCACATATTTTAATTATTGCCTTTTTAGAAATACATCAATTACATAAAGCTGAATTTAAGCCATTCTTTTGAGAATGTCATAAAGTAGAGGTCAGCAAACTTTTTCTGTAAAGGGCCATACAATACATATTTCAGTCTCTGCAGACCATTTGGTCTTTGCTGAAACTACTCAACTCTGCTAACATAACACAAAAGCTGCCACAGACAATATGTAAACAAATGAGGGTGACTGTAATAAAATGTTATTTATGAACACTGAAATTTGAACTTCAAATCATTTTCATGCTTCCCAAAACATTCTACTTTTGACTATTTTTCAACCATTTAAAAAAGTAAAAACCATTCTTAGGTGACAGGCTGTAGAAAAACTAGTCATAGGCTTAATCTGGCCCACAAGCCATAGTTCGCCAATGCCTGTCACACTACTACATGTCTTATAAATTAGTACATTCTCTCCTGCAATATCATTGCACACTAGAGAGGTACTTGTCCCCTTTTACAGATATAAACAGTAAGTAATGAGAACAAAATCTATGCCAACTCTTATGCTTTGTTATAAAAATAAAAAAAAATTGCCTTCCTTTCGGCAACATA
The DNA here is from genome assembly GCF_000001405.40 of Homo sapiens. Taxonomy (NCBI): domain Eukaryota; kingdom Metazoa; phylum Chordata; class Mammalia; order Primates; family Hominidae; genus Homo; species Homo sapiens. The sequence goes on from NC_000010.11 coordinate 12,019,661, forward strand.
CGTGAGACATCACTGTCCAGAAGAATCTCTAAAGTACGTCAGTCCTTGATTTTATGGAGTGTTTTTTTTTGTTTTGTTTTTGAGATGGATTCTCGCTCTGCTGCCCAGGCTGGAGTGTAGTGGTGCAATCTGAGCTCACTGCAACCTCCGCCTCCTAGGTTCAAGCAATTCTCCCTGCCTCAGCCTCCCACATAGCTGGGATTACAGGAGCCTGCCACCACACCCGGCTAATTTTTGTATTTTTAGTAGAGACGGGGTTTTGCCACGTTGGCCAGGCTGGCCTCAGGCTCCTGATGTCAGGTGATCTGCCCACCTCAGCCTCCCAAACCGCTGGGATTACAGGCATGAGCCACCACGCCCAGTTGAATGTTTTTTATATTACTAATTTAATATTATAAAACCAACCAAAAAAGCCAGTCAATTTTTGAGTCAAGCATTATACATCATAAATAAAATTCATTAATGCCTAAAAAATTCTAATATTAAGAGAACTTTTTTCTTCTTTTCCATTTTTTCATTTTTATTGACTTTTTTATATTTCCTTCATTTTATTAATTTTTGCTTTGTATTATCCTAAAAAATAAATTTTATTTTTTTTTTAATTTTTTTGAGACGGAGTTTCGCTCTGTCACCCAGGCTGGAGTGCAATGGCGCAATCTCGGCTCACCGCAACCTCTGCCTCCCGGGTTCAAGCCATTCTCCTGCCTCAGCCTCCTGAGTAGCTGGGATTACAGGCATGCGCCACTACGCCCGGCTAATTTTGTATTTTTAGTAGAGACAGCGTTTCTCCATATTGGTCAGGCTGGTCTCGAATTCCCAACCTCAGGTGATCCGCCAGCCTCAGCCAAGCTACTAAAGTTTAAGAAGTTTAACATAAAAATTTATAAAATCATAAAAAGACAGAAAGAGAAATTCTCATTCAAATGTCTTTCAGAAAGGTCAGGCAGGCAATCTATTAATAAAAGCTAACTAACATTTACTAAATACTTACAATGTGCCAGACACTGTTATTAAGTGCTTTTACACATATGAATTCACTATATGATTCACATTTACCTCAGAGTTACAGAACTATTGTTATGCCCATTTTACAGATGGGAAAACTGAAGCACAGAGATGCCAGGTAACTTGCCCAAGATTGCAGAATGTGCAAATGACAGTGCTCTAGCTCCAGAGTCCACGCTCTGAAATATTGGACTATGCTGCCTTTCAAATTATAATTATCCACTTTGTATGTTACAGTGAAGTTAAAATGTCTCTCAAACACGTCCATGAAGGCAAGCCTTCACCACAGAACTGTTTATTTTATTTCCTCTTTTGGGTCCCTCTCTCGTTTGGATTTGACTTGGTAAATATTGAGCGGCTAACATGTATACTATACACTTCAAAAACAAGTGCTAAATGTAAATATGGGTGGATATTACATAATTGTGAAAAGTACAGTATGAAGAAGAAGAAAAGAACCTGACTCTATCACTCACTTTCCATGTTATATTGGGCAAGCCCTTTAATCCCTTTGTTTTACCATCTTCAAAATATAGGCATTTATATAATATAGGTACTGTTAGGATCAATTAAGATCATATAGGCCAGATGTGGTGGCTCATGCCTGTAATCTCAGCACTTTGGGAGGCCAAAGTGGGAGGATCACTTGAGCCCAAGATATCAAGACCAGCCTGGCCAACATAATGAAACCAAGTCTCTACAAAAAAAAAAAAATTTTTTTAAATTAGCCAGGTGTGGTGGTGCATACCTGTGGTCTCAGCGACTTGGGAGGCTGAGGTGGGAGATAGCGAGGCTGCAGTGAGCTATGACTGCACCATGACACTCCAGCCTGGGTGACAGGGAAAGACCCTGTCTCAAAAAAAAGGATCATATGTGGGATTTATTATGTTAATGTAAAATGATATTTTCATGAGAAAAAAAGTGCCAAAGCCTAACATAGGAAAGGCAAGAATTTCAATGCCAAATTCTATTAATCATTAGCCAAATTAAAAAGGAAAATAGTCTTGACAAACATACAGAACATTCATTTTAACTTTGCCCTTGTGCAGTCATACAAAATTATATATAACACATGGACAAAATCTTTAAAAGAATGATCATGAAGAAGACCCCAGAAAAACTGCTGGGTTTTATATCTCCTCCAGCATTCTGTCCAATTTTAATAAAAATTGGCCTCAGAATTATCTTAGATTTTCTTGGCTGGATGCAGTGGCTCACGTCTGTAATCTCAGCACTTTGGGAGGGCAAGGCGGGCGGATCACTTGAGGTCAGGAAACCAGCCTGGCCAACATGGTGAAACCCTGTCTCTGCTAAAAATACAAAAATTAGTCGAGTGTGGTGGCAGGTGCATGTAGTCCCAGCTACTCAGGAGGCTGAGGCAGGAGAATCGCTTGAACCTAGGAGGTGGAAGTTGCAGTGAGCCAGGATCGCGCCACTGCACTCCAGCCTGGGTGACAGAGCGAGACTCCAGCACAGTGGCTCACTCCTGTAATCCTACCACTTTGGGAGGCCGAGGAGGGCAGATTGTGTGAGCTCAGGAGTTCGAGACCAGCCTGGGCAACATGGTGAAACCCTGTCTCTTCTAAAACACAAAAAATTAGCCAGGCGTGGCGGCATGTGCCTGTGGTCCCAGCGACTTGGGAGGCTGAGGCAGGAGAATTGCTTGAACCTGGGAGGCGGAGGTTGCAGAGAGCTGAGATCATGCCACTGCACTCCAGCCTGGAAACAGAGGGAGACTCCGTCTCAAAAAAAAAAAAAAGAAAAAAATTATCTTAGATTTTCTTTTGGTTTCATTTTAGAATTATTTATGGATATCTCATAATCTTGTAAAAAGACTCTAGAACATAGCAAAGCAAAACTGTACCCATTAAAATGGGTACTACTACTACAGCAAAGTCATTTAAACACAATTAGAATATCTAGGACATAATTTTAGAGCTCTTAGAACATTACAGCTATAACACTAAATCTAAAGTACAGAGAAGTAACATCTTAATTGTGCTTAAATACTACCAATTAATTAATTGGTATTAACTACCAATTAAACAACCTACCTGTGAAGCAAGGTACAACTCACCTGGAAGGAAAGTGAAAGTAAAAGCAGTACCATTTCATTATTGGCTGATGTGTTTTTAAGTTTCAATATCAGTCAATAATGCCTCAAGAATTAGCATTCATAAAAGAAACCTCTGACTTTTTTTTTAACAATGGGCAGACGAAAAAGTCTGCATTCTACTTAAATTTTTTTTCCTGAACTTTGTCAACTCACTGCTGTTAGACTAAGCCTGCAATCATGAGGGTACTAAGTCAGGGGTGCTGAAGAGAAACTTGTTACCACTTCCACCAATTAGGGAGAAAAAAAGGAATAAAGATATTTTGAGATTACTCAAACAAGAATTCTAGCCTACTACCTGAATTCATGATTTCACTATACTGAAAGAAACAAATTCTGTAACATAATTGAGTTATAGCCATGAAAATGAAATCATTTCTTCATCCAATTAAATGCCCAAAATATACTAATAGGACCTCTATAATATTTCAAAGTACAAAGCATTTCAAAGCATATAAAGAGCACTTAACATTATAAAAGGCAAAACTCACTGAGAAAGTAAGGCTATTAATTCCAAATAGGCAAATACTACTGGATGACATTTTTAAATTTATAATAATTATAACTCACCAGGTCAATCACTTAACCAAAATGTATAACAAAAAATAATATTCGGCTGGGCATGGTGGATCACACCTGTAATCCTAGCACTTTGGGAGGCCGAGGCGGGAAGATCATGAGGTCAAGAGATCGAGACCATCCTGGCCAACATGGTGAAACCCTGTCTCTACTAAAAAAAAAAAAAAAAATAGAGAATTAAAATTAGCCAGGCGTGGTGGTGCATGCCTGTAATCCCAGTTACTCGGGAGGCTGAGGCAAGGGAATCGGTTGAACCCAGGAGGTGGAGGTTGTGATAAGCTGAGACCATGCCACTGCACTCCAGCCTGGGGGACAGAGCGAGACTCCATCTAAAAAAAAAAAAAAGATATTGGCCAAGCACAGAGGCTCATGCCTGTAATCCCAGCACTGTGGGAGGCTCAGGCAGGCAGGTGGCTTGAGCTCAGGAGTTTGGGACCATCCTGGGCAACATGGAGAAATCCTGTCTCCACCAAAAATACAAAAAATTAGACAAGTGTGGTGGCACGTGCCTATGGTCCCAGCTACTCAGGAGGTTGATGGAGGACTGCTTGAGCTGGGAGGTGGAGGCTGCAGTGAGCACTTCAGCCTGCCACTGCACTCCAGCCTGGGTGACAGAGTGAGACCTTGTCTCAAAAAAACAAAATAAAATAATAAAAGATATTGAATAAAATGCTTAAAGAAATTTAACTAGGTAGGAATCTTAAATATCAGCTAGCTTAGTTTTCTTGCTTTATCACACCTCAGGGAAACCTTACTGGAAGAACTATTGCCCATTATTTAGTCCTATGATGTAGAAAAACCTCAAAACACCTACTAGATGAGAGGTGCAGTGGCTCACACTTGTAAACCCAGAAGTTTGGGAGGCCATGGCAGGAGGATTGCTTGAACCCAGGAGTTCGAGGCCAGCCTGGACAACAGTGTGAGACCATATCTCTATGTTTACAAAAATTCTTTTAAAGTTTGGGATGGGGGGTGGGCACAGTGGCTGACGCCTATAATCCCAGCACTTTGGGAGACCAAGGCAGGCAGATCATCTGAGGTCAGGAGTTCGAGACGAGCCTGGGCAACATGGCGAAACCCCGTCTCTACTAAAAATACAAAAATTAGCTGGGTGTGGTGGCATGTGCCTATAGTCCCAGCTACTCAGGAGGCTGAGGTAGGAGAATTGCTTGAACCCAGGAGGCGGAGGTTGCAGCGAGCCAAGATCACGCCACTGTACTCCAGCCTGGGCAACACAGGGAAACCCCGTCTCGAAAAATTAATTAATTTATTTATTAATTAAAGGTGGGGTGGCACCGAGCACAGTGGCTCACACCTATAATCCCAACACTTTGGGAGGCCAAGGCAGGAGGATCGCTTGACCCCAGAAGTTTGAGATCAGCCTGAGCAACATAGGGAGCTCCCTCTCTATAAAAAAATTTAAAAAATAACCAGGCATGGTAGCACGTGCCTGTAGTCTCAGCTACTTGACAGCCTGAGGTGGGAAGATCCCTTAAGCCCCAGGAGGTCAAGGCTACACTGAGCCATGATCACACGACTGCACTCTAGCCCAGGTAAGAGGGAGACCCTGTTACAAAAAAAAAAAAAAAAAAAAAAAAAACACAGCTACTGGATAATGACTGGGAGGGACAAAATGATCATTTTAGCAGAACACCATAATGTACCCTTGCAGAAGGTAGGAAACTATCATTAGGCCAATAGGGATTGTGCACTAATCCATTCCTCATGTCTTTTGCTCAGTCACGTATCTGCATCTTCTCTATAGTGGCTGCTCAAGTTGAAGCTATCCTAAGGCATGAGTGATTTATTAAGCCATATGCCAATTATTTTCTACATGGTGATTAAGATTCTCACATCCTCAAATCATTACATCTAAATGAGCAAAGTCTCCCATCATAAAAAGGCTATGATGGCCAGGCACGGTGGCTGACGCCTGTAATCCCAGCACTCTGGGAGGCCGAGGTGTGCAGATCACCTGAGGTCAGGAGTTTGAGACCGGCATGGCCAACATGGTGAAACCCCATCTCTACTAAAAATACAAAAATTAGCTGGGTGTAGCAGCGCAGGCCTGTAATCCTAGCTACTTGGGAAGCTGAGGTAGGAGAATTGCTTTAACCCGGGAGGCAAAGGTTGCAGTGAGCCAAGACCATGACACTGCATTCCAGCCTGGGAGACAGTAAGACTCCATCTCTAAATAAATAAATAAATAAATAAATAAATAAATAGGCTGTGACAATACTAAGGTCAGTTTACACTATGTAAGTAAACTTCTCAAATAACTGTGGATTAATAGTTCTGTAACAAATGGATAAAAGTTTCTAAGGAAAAGCCACAAAGCTGTATTCTTAACCACATCCTTTTCAAATTTTTATCAATGACTTGAATAATAAAATAGAAGAGCTGCTTATCAAAGCTGAATGTGACCAGAAGATAAGCACTATTCAGTTTTTGTTTCGAGACAGGGTCTCTCTCTGTCGCCCAGGCTAGAGTGCAGTGGTGCGATCATGGCTTACTGCAGTCTCGACTTTCCAGGCTCAACTGATCCTCCCACCTCAGCCCCCAAGTAGCTGAGACTACAAGCGCATGCCACCACACCCAGCTAATTTTTATATTTTTTGTAGCAATGGGGTTTCAGCATGTTGCCCAGGCTAGTCTCAAACTCCTGGGCTCAAGCGATCCTTCTGCCTCAGCCTCCCAAAGTGCTGACATTACAGGCGTGAGCCACCGCACCCTGCCAGTACTATTAATAATACACATGTAATCAATATCCAAAGCTTTCATAAAGCTAAAATAATATACAAAAAGCATCTAAATAAAGTTTAACAGAGATATGCAAGTACACATTTAGGCTTTAAAAATTGTATTTCACTAGTTTAAGGTGAAGAAGAAGTGGCTTGTCAGCAGTTCATATGAGAAATAAAGCTTCAGTGCAAATAAGTTTAACAAAAACCAAAAGAACAACAAGGTAGCTATAAAAACTAAGGCAATTTTAGGTCACAGATAGAAAAGAATGCATCCAAAACAAGTATCCTAAGAGTAGTGAAGTGTCTGGAAATCATGGAGCAAACTGAAAGAACTGGAGGTATTTAACATGGAGACGAGAAAAGGGAAACATCACGGCAGTCTGAATATCTGAGATACTGTCATGGGAATAAAAGTGGACACATATGTCCTCTACTGGTATTCCTCAAACCATCTGTGGTAAAGGGCCACCTTTCCTTCCCCAACCACTGGACACTTCTGTAAAAATATAGTAAGAATACCATGACCACTGAAAATTCCTATAAACTTTTTTTTTTTTTTTTTTTTTAGGACGAAGTCTCGCTCTTGTCCTCCAGGCTGGAGTGCAATGGCACAATCTCGGCTCACTGCAACCTCCACCTCCCAGGGTCAAGTGATTCTCCTGCCTCAGTCCCCCACAAGTAGCTGGGATTACCGGGGCCTGCCACCATGCCCGGCTAATTTTTGCATTTTTAGTAGAGACGGGGTTTCACCATGTTGGCCAGGCTGGTCTCAAACTCCTGACCTCAGATGATCCACCCACCTTGGCCTCCCAAAGTGCTGGGATTACAGGTGTGAGCCACCATTTCCAGCCTGAAAATTCCTATAATAATTTCTAAATGCTCACTCTCACTTTCTGTGTTTCATTAAATTGTGAACAGGTTACAAGTTCATAGATTTCCTACTTCAAGTACCTGTATTCCATCCATACCAGAAAAAAGAACCAAATCAAAGGGAATCATTTTGTGGGAAGTTAAATTTCCACCTGATGTAACAAAGAATTCCTAGCCCATAGTGTTTCCAACAGTGCAATGGCACCGAGAGAACTGAGCTCCTTTGGGAAGTATTCAGAGGAAAAATAATTTTATCTGTTAGATAATCTAAAAAATGTATTCCTACTTTGGAAAGGTGAATGGATTGGATTAAAACATCGTAGAATCTCTCCACTCTCCAAGATTCTGAGTCCAATCAAAAGCAAATACACACACATACACCCTCAAAGTAGCCAAGAACTAATCAATCATTAGCATACTATTAGCATACTCACAAATCAGTTATGATGTATTAGGTAGGATGTACGAGCAAAGGACTATGAAATTGACAAAGCATATGGAAATCATAATTAAGCCCTAAGTAAGTGAGAAGTATGAATAAAGCACCACCATAATCCTTTTTAGTCCATTACTGATGGTACAAGTACACTCTCAGGTTGCCTCTTCAAAGTTTAAACCAGTCCTCGCAAATCAAAACACAAAACAAGGATAAGCCTTTTCCTTTTTCCTAAAAGAACTATTGATAACACCTTTGCCGTCTTAAATTCTCACCTCTGAGTGACCTTCAGCCACAAAGATTTAACCACAGTCTCTACCTTGACCCTGCCCTAACTGTACTACTGGCATACACTACTCCTGTTCAATCTTCTGGTCAATCATCTTCTAGTGGTAACTACTTAAACCACTCCTCCCCTACCACAGACTTATGAAACTAGAAAAGGATCTCCTCCTATACAAATTTCTGATCAACAGTAATTTCAGATTCTCAACCATGCAATATAAATAGTTGTAGAAATATTAAAATAGTTTAATACTCAGCCACGTGCTATGGCTATTACCTCTTTGCTACACTCCCTCAGCCCCCCTCCAAATCCATCCTCCATAGAAATTGACCTAATGCCTAGCAACTCCATCAACTTCTAGCTTCTTGTTGCTCCTCAGGTACAAATACTACACAGTAGTCTACCATACCTTTTAACAACCAAAATTGGCCCCAAAGTCAGGTCTTTTCACCAATTACCACAGGCACAGTACATTCCTCCTTTAGAATTTTAAATGAATGCCCCCAGGAAGAAGACTCCTACAAATGAGTTTTGTAGTTGCATTTAAGAAATTTTTTCACAGCTAATTTTGTGCATTATTTCCCAAAACTCTAATCTGAAATACCACTGGTAATTAATGACTCATTTTCTTAAGAAGAGCAACAGTGACATAAAGAACTTAAAATACAAAACAATGAAAGCAAACCTGTTATAGAGAGAACGTTAAAGCACACAGAAAAATATTAGCAGGTAAGTTTAAGTGACAGAAAAGGAAATTTTACCCCTTGATTATTAAGGAGTATTTAAAATCACAGGAAGAATACACATCCACAAAGCAAAAATCACCATCTACTTGGCAGATTTTTTTAAAATCAGAAACAAAATCTATCGTAGACTCACATTAAAACATGAGTACTCAGACTGTTCTACTTTGAAATTTTCCTGGAATGTTAAGAAATCACCTGTAAGGAGCCCTTTTCCATAAGTTCTTTCAGTGGCATGAAGACTTTAAACATTTTTAAGTATGAGCTCCAAAATAAATTCTCAACTCTGAGAAACATTTGAAAATCACCTGTTTTGTCTCTCAGTATTCTGGAGCTCCCTGTGGTCCCTTTTCAGGTGTTTGGTCAAAGACGTAAAGTACTCTTTTAAAAGATTCTGGAAGGGCTGTTGTTTCTCTGGACTAATTATCTCACTAGGAGGAAAACTCAAATTAAACTTCTCTGCAGCACTCTTTACTTTCCTTGGTACAAGTCCAGCAATATCATCTCCACAATGTCGACAGAAACTAATCACTACAGAGACATGAGTGTGGGACTCCCGATCAGCATTAATAATATTTTTTAGCTGTTCATAGATTAAGGAAAGACCTTCCTTGTCAGTGAAAATCCCAACTATTGTCAATTCTGCAATAAAACGCAAATCAGTTCTTAACTTGGTGATGTTAGGTGTTTTCTCCTCTTTCCTTGCTTCAAAATGTTTTTTCCAGACCTGAAGAAGTGATGGGGCAAAGTCAGCATAACGCTGGTGAAAGAGAGAGCAGAGGTGCACAGCACAGTTCACATCAGAGATTTTTAGTTTTGCTTCCACGATGGAAGCTACAGCTTCTGCAATGTATTTGCTTAAATTTAGGCCATTAAAATCATGGGACAAGGAGTCTCTCTGTTGTTCTGTAATAGTTTTTAGTTTCTTGACAAAAGCAGTATTTTTCTTCAAACTTGAGTCGAGGCGGCTGAAGAAGTTTTCCTCTGGTCGGCTGTCCGGAGCATTTTGGTTTTTGCTACGAAGTTCCTTTCTTAAATGATGTCGTTCCCAAGCTTCCTGATGAAGCTGAATGGATTCTTCTTTTTCTCTATATAAAAACAAACAAATAAATAAAATACTCTCTACATTTTGAAGCATTATACACAAATCCCCTAAGAGTAAAAAGCCAATGAAAAAAATTATCTAAGTATAACAATCTACAAGATTCAAAAGGCCTTTCACTACTTTTAAAGACATTTTACTGGCCAGGCATGGTGGCTCATGCCTGTAATCCCAGCACTTTGGGAGGCCAAAGCAGACAGATCACCTGAGGTCAGGAGTTCAAGGCCAGCGTGGCCAATATGGTGAAACCCCACCTCTACTAAAAATACAAAAATTAGCTGGGCGTGATGGCGCTCACCTGTAGTCCCAGCTATTCAGGAGGCTGAGGCACAACACTTAAACCCAAGAGGCAGAGGTTGCAATGAGCCAAGAACGTGACACTGCACTCTAGTCTGGGCGACAGAGCAAGACTCCGTCTCAAAAAAAAAAAAACAAAAAAAAAACACATAAAGACATTTTACTAACGACTAACGATAACAAGTATTATCTTAATGAGAAGCCCAGTACTGGAGGTCGATAACAAATGTCATAGAGCAGAGGATACTGACACTAGATTAAAATTAAAAATCATTCTGCCAACTGGCAAGCTAACTAGGTAAGACATATAATGCTACTGTGAAAAATATAGTATGTTTGGGAAGGATGTAAAATGTGAAACAAATAAAAGCAATGGGCAAAGAGAAAAAAAAACAATTATACACAAAGAATTATTTAAAGAATTAGCACTACAAGACCAGATGTGGTGGCTCCCAGCACTTTGGGAGGCGGGTGGATCACCTAAGGTCAGGGGTTCGAGACCAGCTTGGCCAACATGGTGAAACCCCGTCTCTACTAAAAATACAAAAATCAGCCAGTCGTGGTGGTGGGCACCTGTAATCTCAGCTACTTGGGAGGCTGAGGCAGGAGAATTGCTTAAACCTGGGAGTCGGAGACTGATGCTGCAGTAAGCCAAGATCTCCCAACTGCACTCCAACCTGGGCAACAGAGCGAGACTCTGCCTCAAAAAATAATAATAATAATAATAATAATTAGCACTATAAAAGAATGCATTAAAAATGTTTTGAGGCCTGGGCAGTGGCTCACGCCTGTAATCCCAGCACTTTGGGAGGCCGAGGCAGGCAGATCACGAGGTCAGGAGATCGACACCATCCTGACTAACATGGTGAAACGCCATCTCTACTAAAAATAACAAAAAATTAGCAGGGCATGGTTGCACGCGCCTGTAGTCCCAGCTACTCAGGAGGCTGAGGCAGCAGAATTGCTTGAACCCGGGAGGCGCAGGTTGCCGTGAGCCAAGATCATGCCACTGCACTCCAACCTGTGTGACAGAGCAAGACTCTGTCTCAAAAAAAAAGGCCAGGCACGGTGGCTCATGCCTGTAATCCCAGCACTTTGGGAGGCCGAGGCGGGTGGATCACGAGGTTAGGAGATCGAGACCATCTTGGCTAACACAGTGAAACCCCGTCTCTACTAAAAATACAAAAAATTAGCCGGGCGCAGTGGCAGGCACCTGTAATCCCAGCTACTCAGGAGGCTGAGGCAGGAGAATGGCATGAACCCGGGAGGCGGAGCTTGCAGTGAGCCGATATAGTGCCACTGCAGTCCGGCCTGGGCGAAAGAGCAAGACTCCATCTCAAAAAAAAAAAAAAAAACAAAACAGTTTTGCAATGTTAGATATTGTTTTTCCATCCTCAGCACATTAGCCAAACCTTTAACAAAGTACCTTGCTATGTTTGGGCTCTTAAAAATTCAAGTGATTTAGAAAATTTGGAAAGGAACCAGAAGACAACTATCAAATAAGAAACTTAATAAAAACCTAGTAGACTCAGTTTATACTGAAAAGAATAACCAAAAACAAATATACCTATTTTTCCACTAAAAAGACAGAACAAGTTTAAATTGCAGAAGTAATAAAATAGGCACGAGTGAGGGGCAACAATCTGATTTTGAAGTTTATTGAAGTTTTTGAGATAACAAAACACATAACTTAAATCTCCACTTTGTGAAGCTGAGGTGGGAAGAGCCCAGGAGTTAAGACCAGACTGGGCAACATAGTAAGACCCAATCTCTACAAAAAAATTTTAAAAATTAGCTGGACATGGTGGCACATGCCTGTAGTCCCAGTTACTTGGGAGGCTGAGACGGGGGGATCGCTTGAGCCCAGGAGGTTGAAGCTGCAGTGAGTCATGATCACACCATAGCTCTCCAGCCTGGGTGACAGAGTGAGCCCTGTCTCAAAAAGTTATACGCATATCTATAAATCTCTAAAAAAGTACATTTTCATCTTTCTGAGATAATCACCCCTGAGTTATAAGATAATTATTTGATTTTTCCATTAAAAGCTACAATATATTAACAGAAAGGTGGCCTCTATCACTGAGAACATGGACAGTTGAGTATCTCTTTGAAGTCTCCCAGCAACACACAAATACAAAATGAGCAGTGAAAGTACATTTTAAGAAAGTATGTACAAGGCTGGGTGCCGTGGCTCACGCCTGTAATCCCAGCACTTTGGGAGGCCAAAACGGGTGGATCACCTGAGGTCAGGAGTTCGAGATCAGCCTGACCAACATGGAGAAACACTGTCTCTACTAAAAATACAAAAATTAGCCGGGCATGGTGGCACATGCCTGTAATCCCAGCTACTCGGGAGGCTGAGGCAGGAGAATGGCTTGAACCTGGGAGGTGGAGGTTACGGTGAGCCGAGATCGCGCCATTGCATTCCAGCCTGGGCAACAAGAGTGAAACAACTCTGTCTCAAAAAAAAAAAAAAGAAAGAAAAGAAAAGAAAGTATGTACATACATTAAATAACTCAATTTTCAGCTGCATTGAAAACACTTATATATCGAAGTTTTTATGGGTAAATGCTATGATGCTCTACAATACTCCAGGGGGAAAAAGTGGGTAATTATTGATGCTAGGTAGATGGGGGACTAGTTCACTATACTATTCTATTTTTGCATATATCTGAAATTTTCCCAGGAGCTCAGGAGTTCAAGACCAGCCTGGGCAACACAGCAAAACCCCGTCTCTACAAAAAATACAAAAATTAGCCAAGTATGGTGGTATGCATCTGTAGTCCCAGCTACTCAAGAGGCAGAGGCGGGAGGATCACTTGAGCCCAGAAGGCAGAGATCGCAGTGAGCCAAGACCAGGCCACTGCACTCCAGCCTGGGTGACAGAGCAAGACCCTGTCTCAAAAAAAAAAAAAAAAGACTCTCTTAAGAATCATGGTTCTGAATATTCCAAAACTAGGCACTACTATAGCTTTGCAGACCTAAGGCTTCTGTTCCTTATTAAAAGAGGTCCTGGCCAGGGGTGGTGGCACGAGCCTGTAATGACAGCTACTCAGGAGGCAGGAGGAATCACTTGAGCACAGGAGTTGGAGACTGCAGTACGTTATGATGGAACCTGAGAATAGCCACTGCACTCCAGCCTGGGTAACAACAGCAATGCCACCATCACCCCCCCAAAAATGGGAAGAAAGTAGAAGTCCTAAAGAACAACTCTGAGAAGAAAGGTGGCTGTTCTAGAGATCTATACAAAATCGTGCTTGCAAAAAGGTTTTTAAATTATATATTTGGCCACGCAAAGTAGTGTACATCTGTAGTCCCAGCTACTAGGGAGGCTGTAGTGGGAGGATCGCTTGAGCTCAGCAATTACAGACTAACTTAGAAAAAAAAGAAAGACACCGTTTCCAAAAACGATTTTTTAGGCCAGGCATGGTGGCTCATGCCTGTAATCTCAACACTTTGGGAGGCTGAGGCAGGAGGACTTCTTGAGTCCAAGAGTTCAAGACTAGCCTGGGCAACATGGTGAAACTCTATCTACAAAAAGTACAAAAATACCCAGGTGTGGTGGCACGCACCTGTAGTTCCCGCTACCAAGGAGGATGTGGTGGGAGGATGGCTTGAGCCTGGGAGGTCAAGGCTGCAGTGAGCTGGCATTGTACCACTACACTCCAGCCTGGCTGGAGTTTGTTGAGCTCTTGTTATGTTACCAGGCACTGTACAAAATATATTAGCAAATATCCTTAAGACAGTACCAATGAAGTTAAATTCTACAAGCCTCATTTTAGAGATCAATAAAATGAGGCTTAAAAAGGGTAAGTTGCCCTCTTAAATTAAAAAAAAACTTTTTTAGTTAAAAATAAATAAGTTATATATTTATGCTTTCCCTTATTTTTCTTCATAGAGACAGGGTCTCGCTATATTGACCAGGCTGGTCTTGAACTCCTGAGCTCAACCAATCCTCCTGCCTCAGCCTCCCAAAGGGCTGGGTTTACAGGCGTGAACCACCATGCCCGGCCTAATAAGTTTTATATTTAGAGAAGAGCTTATGCTATTCAACAGTAGTCACTGCTGATGCATCTCTGGTGTTTCTCCTGTAAGAACTACATTTTTCACTAGTTTATTATTTACTTGCACAGGTTTACAAGCTTAAAAACAGATTTAAATAAAGATAAGAATGGAAGGCATTGTGGAATTGTGCTTAATGAATAGTCAAAAGTTTTAAAGTCAGACCAACCTAGCTTTAAATCCCAACAGCTCTACTATTTGCTGTGACCTTAAGCAACTTACCCTCCTTAAGCTTCATTTTGTTAATCTGTAAAATGAGGATCATAAAACTTACTTCACTGGGATTGTCCTAAGGATAGATGCTAATATATTCTGTACAATGCCTGATAGATAAGAACTCAACAAACATCAGCCAACTGAAGGTTTTCAATTTTTTTAAAAAATGGAGTACTATCATACCATGAAAAAAAGTTTTTATTTTATTATTTTATTTTTTTTTTTTTGAGATGCAGTCTTGCTCTGTTGCCCAGGCAGGAGTGCAGTGGCACAGTCTTGGCTCACTGCAACCTCCACCTGCTAGGTTCAAGCGATTCTCCTACTTCAGCCTCCTGAGTAACTGGGACTACAGGCATGCGCCACCATGCCTGACTAATTTTGTATGAAAAAAAGTCTTTAAAAAATAAACAGCCAGGTGCGGTGGCTCACACCTGTAATCCCAGCACTTTGGGGAGGCTGAGGCGGGCGGATCACCTGAGGTCAGGAGCTCAAGACCAGCCTGGCCAACATGGTGAAACGCCATCTCTACAAAAATACAAAAATTAGCTGGGCATGATGGCAGGTGCCTGTAATCCCAGCTACTCGGGAGGCTGAGGCAGGAGAATCACTTGAACCCAGGAGGCGGAGGTTGGAGTGAGCCAAGATGGTGCCATTGCACTCCAGTCTGGGCGACTGAGCAAAATTCCGTCTCAAAATAAATAAATAAAAGATTACCCAGGACCTCAAAACAGTACTCATTAAAGATTGTTACTATTATTTAATTTGAATAATTAACACACCTTAAGCATGCCTCTAGTCAGTGAAACTAACAGAACAAGTAAATTAAGATACTCCCAATTCTTAAAGAGCTGCACCCAGGACGCTATATTTCAAATAATGTTTTTTTCCCAAAATATTCCAATCTTCCCATTCCCTCACATCAATAAATACAATCAACTGCCTTACTTCATCTGAGCAGCTGCTTCTTCTTCTTGCTGACGTTTGGCCTGCTCTTCTTGCTTCTTTCTCTCTTCCTCTTGATGTTTCTTTTTTTCTTCCTCTTCTTTTTTCTTTGATTCTTCCTCTGCCTTCACCTTTTCTTCGTCTTTTTTCTTGCGTTCCTTGTCTTCCTTTTTTCTCTTATCATCTTCCAGTCTCTTCTTCTTGTCTTCAGGGGCCTTGCTGACCTCCTTCTTGGCAGTGAGCTTGATATCGTCTTTTGGCCTCTCCTTGCTGCTCACTGTCCGCCTTTCACTGCAGTCTTTTTCCTTGTTGTTTGGTAAAGAGTCTTTTTCTTCCATACTTGCTGGCTTTTTACGCTCAGCTGGCATTATGTGACCCAGGACAATCTGTAAGAGGGAAAGAATGTCAGTACCATAGATGCAGTGACTTTTTAAAATGATATCACACTATTTTTTTAAACAGAACATATTAATGCAACTTGGCAATTGTAAAAGAGTAAATAAAGGCAGGTAAAATGAATACTATTTCTGTTACAAAATAAGTTATTCATCACATTCCACATCCTATCATTATTAGTTAGGCCTATGTCTAAGTACTTGTTTTTTACTTTTTATAAGGAAAAATCCAAGCCCAGACAAAAGTAGAGAGCATAATATAAGGAACCTCCACGTACCCATCACTCAGATTCAGCCACTATCAACTCCAAAACAATATGTCATTTAATTGTAAATACTTCAGAATATATCTGTGAACATTTTGAGTCAGCTTTAACCCTAGCATTTGACAACCATGAAAGATGGCAGTTCACTATTTCATATAATATTCAATGTCAGTATTTCAGCTGAGAAAGGAAACAAAAACAAGCCCTTGCCTCCTATATGTCAACGGACAAAACAGAACAGCGGACTCACGAATCTCACTTCATTGCTCTAACCTTATCATCAAACTTTCAGATACAAAAACTGTTAACTATCTCAAATTAAACTAGACTTTTAACTTCTTCATCTGTATTAGTTAAAGTTAATTTATAAATAAACATGAACCTAAAATCCGTATGTTCTGTGCTATATCTGTCAATACAGAGTAGCTATTAGCCCAGGGTTTCTAAAGTTCAGCACCATTGACAGTTTGGGCAAAATACTCCTTTGGTTTTAGAGGAAAGGGGTCACCATGTGCTCTGTAGGAGGTTTAGCAGTGTCCCTGCCTGCTATGCAGTGCATACAAGTAGCTCCTCCCTCATTTTGACAACCAAATATAACTCCAGACATTGCTAAATATCCGTCGGAGAAAAAATTATCACCCAAAAACTGCTGCACTAGTCATATGTGGTTACTTAAATGTAAATTAATTAAAATTAAATAAAATTTGAAATTCAGTTCTTCAGTCAGTATCTGTATTTCAAGTGCTCAATTCCACATGTGACTAATGGCTTCCATACACAGCAGGGCAGATACAGAACATTTCCACAGAAAGTTCTATTGGATAGCATTGGCCTATAGTACAGGCTTATAGTTAACTGAAAGTAACTGTGGAACAAAAAACTATACTTTGCAGGAAAATTCTGAATTTTTCTTTTCTAAAAATATATTTCTCTACTCAGAACTAGTTGTCTAATTTCTTTTAGGCATGGTGTTTCACGTTTTAACTCCTAAATTATCTAAGAGTTGTATATAAGAAAATCAAAATTCGGCCAAGCACAGTGGCTCATGCCTATAATCTCAGCACTTTGGAAGGCCAAGGCAGGCAGATTACCTGAAGTCGAGAGTTCGAGACCAACCTGACTAACATGGAGAAATCTCGTCTCTACTAAAAATATAAAATTAGACGGGTATGGTGGCGCATGCCTGTAATCCCAGCTACTCGGGAGGCTGAGGCAGGAGAATGGCTTGAACCCGGGAAGCGGAGGTTGTAATGAGCCAAGATCACGCCATTGGACTCCAGCCTGGGCAACAAGGACAAAACTCCGCCTCAAGAAAAAAAAGAAAATCAAAATTCTATTTTAGAGGTAGAAAATTACCTAAATTTCTTAGTTTTATGTTTTCTTTTTGAAACAGGGTCTCACTTTGTCGCCCAGGCTGGAGTGCAGTGGCACAATCACAGCTCACTGAAGTCTCGACCTCGCAGGCTCAAGTGACCCACCTGCCTCAGCCCCCCAAGTAGCTGGAACAGTAGGTGCTCAACACCACATCCAGGTAATTGTATTTTTAGTAGAGATGGGATTTCCCCATGTTGACTAGGCTGGTCTCGAAATCCTGAGTTTAAGTGATCCATCCACCTGGGCCTCCCAAAGTGCTGGGATTACAGGTATGAGCCACTGTGTTTTTGAGCTTTAGTGTTTTTGTTTTTCTTTTTTTTTTTTTTTTTGAGTCTCGCTCTGTTGCCTAGGCTGGAGTGCAGTGGTGTGATCTCGGCTCACTGCAACCTCCACCTTCCGGGTTTAAGTGAACCTCCCACCTCAGCCTCCCAAGTACCTGAGATTATAAGTGTGTGCCATCACACTCAGCTAATTTTTGTATTTTTAGTAAAGATGGGTTTCACCATATTGGCCAGGCTGCTTGAATTCTTGACCTCAAGTGATCCATCTGACTTGGCCTCCCAAAGTGCAGGATTACAAGCATGAGCCACAGTGCCCGGCCAGCCCTTCGTTTTTTTTTATTAAAAGCAATAGTATCCTTAAATATTTTCAAATATAGGTTTTAAATTACAGCACTTAAAACTAGGTTACCAAAAAAAGCATTTGTAATATTGATATTTTTTAAATACAAAAATACTTTACTTCAGTACTCTATTAAAATGTTAATTTCACAGAAAGCAACCTAGACCAACAGAAACACTTTAATTTTTGCAGGTACATGCCACAGCCTGTACCTTCTCATAACTACCTTTTTCCTTCTCCTTTTTCTTTTACTCCCTCATTGCTCTCCACTCCCTTGTTCTATGCATTTATTTTGACAGTGACACCTAATAGCTGTAGTTAACCCCACTGGTAAAACTCACAACAACAACAAAAAAGCTATTGGGCCTATTTTTAAAATCGTCATTAGGGGCTGGGTGCGGTGGCTCATGCCTGTAATCCCAGCAATTTGGGAGGCCAAGGTGGGCGGATCACCTGAAGTCAGGAGTTTGAGTCCAGCCTGGCCAACATGGTGAAACCCCATCTCTACTGAAAATACAAAAATTAGCTGGGCGTGGTAGCAGGCGCCTGTAATCCCAGCTACTGGGGAGGCTGAGGCAGAACTGCTTGAACCCAGAAAGCAGAGGTTGCAGTGAGCCAAGATCATGCCACTGCACTCCAGCATGGGCGACAGAGTGAGACTCCATCTCACACACACACACACACACACACACACACACACACACACACAAATTACCTTTAATATATGAAAAAGCAGGCTGGGCACCATGGCTCACTCCTGTAATCCCAGCACTTTGGGAAGCCAAGGCAGGCAGATCACTTGAGGTCATGAGTTCAAGACCAGCCTGGCCAACATGTGGAAGCCCCGTCTCTACTAAATATACAAAAATTAAACAGGCATGGTGGAGGGTGCCTGTAATCCCAGCTACTCGGGAGGCTGAAGCAAGAGAATCGCTTGAACCCGGGAGGCGGAGGCTGCAGTAAGCCGAGATAGCGCCACTGCACTCCAGTCTGGGCAAAAGACGGAGACTCCGTCTCAAAAATACAAAAAAAAACAACAACAACAACAAAAGAAAAAGCATTTCTATGCCAAGACAACATTAGCATTTATATTATCTATTTTTTTAATTTAAAAAAAAACTGTTTTAATAAAATAGAGACAAGGTCTCAGTACGTTGCCCTGGCTGGTCTCACACTCCCGGGCTCAAGGGATCCATCCTCCCGCCTCGGCCTTCCAAAGTGCTAGGATTACAGGTATAAGCCACTATACCCGGGCAGCATTTCTATTATCTAGAAGTGTAGTTATTGATTCTTATACATTTTCAATTAAATATCCAACTTTAATGTGAAAACATCACGCCCTTAAAGCAAGCAAACTTTCAAAAAGACTATAATACTAATACACTACTCATGGTACCATACTAAACATTTTACGTATATTATCTCATTTAATACTAAAATCTTTATGAGGTGGGTATTATTTTCCCTATTTTATAAATGAGTAAACTGAGACTTGACCAAGTAACTTGACCAAGGCCTGCACAGCTGGTGACAGAATGGGAATCTGAACCCATTCTCTGAACCAAAGAATCCTAAGAGTACCAAATTGTGAGATGGGAGACATGCTGGTAAATACTGACTATAGCAACCCACAGAATTATGAATCTCAAGAGTAGAAAGAATCCTTCATAATGGTTAAGGAGTTCTCATGTAATGTTTTTAACTTTTAGCAGACTCTGGCTGAAACATATGGGGACAATTTAATATCTAAGGTAATAACATGATCTTATTGAAGGATATTAATCATTAAGTGAAAAAAGTTTATATAGATTTCACATTTTCTGATGTGACGCATCAACAAGTAACATTTCAGGACCACAGGACACTACAAAGAATGGCATCAGAACTTACAATTATGTCTCTCTCTCTCTCTTTTTTTTTTTTTTTTTGAGATGGAGTCTCACTCTGTCGCCAGGCTGGAGTGCAGTGGCACGATCTCGGCTCACCACAACCTCTGCCACCCGGGTTCAAGTCATTCTCCTGCCTCAGCCTCCCGAGTAGCTGGGATTACAGGCATGTGCCACCATGCCCGGCTAATTTTGTATTTTTAGTAGAGATGGGGTTTCTCCATGTTGGTCAGGCTGGTCTCAAACTCCCGACCTCAGGTGATCTGCCTGCCTTGGCCTCCCAAAGTTCTGGGATTTACAGGCATGAGCCACTGTGGCTGGCAGCATGTCTCATTCTGAAGATAAAATAACATCTTAAATTTTTCAAAGAAAAGATTAAGAAATTCATGTAGTATCTGACAAATTCACAAAGATCATCATTTATTAGTTCAACAAAGTCCCAAACTTTCATGACTCTTTAATAAGATTCATGTCTTCATTAAATTTTAAGTACTTAGTATAAGAAATAAAGCTGCAGTAGGCATGCAAGAATTAGACTCGGGGCTGGGCATGGTGGCTCATGCCTGTAATCCCAGCACTTTGGGAGGCCGAGGCAGGTAGATCACGAGGTCAAGAGTTCGAAACCATCCTGGCCAACAACATGGTGAAACCCCATCTCTACTAAAAACACCAAAATTAGCTGGGCGTGGCAGCACACGCCTGTAGTCCCAGCTACTCAGGAGGCTGAGGCAGGAGAATCACTTGAACCCGGGAGGCGGAGGTTGCAGTGAGCCAAGATGGCACCACTGCACTCCAGCCTGGCGACAAAGCCAGACTCCGTCTCAAGAAAAACAAAAAACAAAAAACAAAACAAAAAAAAGGATTAGACTGTACCCTAGAACATAATAAAACAGATTCTCCGTAAAACCCTTAAGTCCTGATACTGGTATCTCCTTTCAACCACTTCATCCTTACATTACAAGCATACGCCCAAAGTATACTTGCGACTAAATTTCCGTAAACAAAAAAAAAAGACAAAAATCTAGAAGTTCATGAAGAGGCAGCAATGCAACTTGTGAAAACAACATACATGGGCTTGGA
Organism: Homo sapiens; assembly: GCF_000001405.40. Classification (NCBI taxonomy): domain Eukaryota; kingdom Metazoa; phylum Chordata; class Mammalia; order Primates; family Hominidae; genus Homo; species Homo sapiens. Next base: position 12,040,678 of record NC_000010.11, read on the forward strand.
AGTCGGACTGATTTTAAATCTGCATCCCAACTCTGCAGCCTGATAGCTACAGAAATCAGGCAACAACTTCTCTGAGTCCACTTATTTATCAATAAGATGGATATACTGCTATCTATCTTGTAGAGTTCTTAAAATTCTAGCATAGTAACTAGCATGAGGGAGGCATTAATAAATGTTCTGTCACAAAGAACACTGAGAAGTTCAGCATACAATGAAAGATTTGTAAAGTCAGATAAAGACTATTAGATTTTATCTACTTCTATCCTCAATTTTTACATTCCAAGGATAGCAGCAGAGTCACCTACCCAAGATTATATATACAGCTAGTTTCCGTGGCTGGACCAACACTCACTACCCAGTGCTTTTTCACTACCTACACTAAAACGAATAAAATATACAAACACCGTGATTCACCTCAATACACGTTTGTTTTATGTCGACTTAAAAAACTGAGCACTAAGTGATATTTAATAAAATGCTAAAATTCTTATTTCAATAACTTCAAGCTTTAACAGCCAAACTTTTCATCTAAAGTGTTTCCAAAAGTTTTTCAAGTCCAAATACAATTTTAAATAGGTCCTTTCTCAAGATAGTGAGGAGAAAAAGTCGTGATCTTTTCACTGGAATCCGATTAGCTGTTACAAATTAGTTTGCTGAATACAATTATATTCAGACTACCCTTAAAAGGAAACCATGCTTTAAAACCACCTTCCTAGCTCCCAAAATAGTGTCCTGTCACTTGAACTGTATATTTTATTTGGTATTCTAAATACATTCTGAACTTCCAAAAGAAAGTAAAACTAATTTACTAGAAGTACCAATGGAGTGTATTGGGGGGAAGAGGGCACAAAAGGGGGTGTTTCCCTTTTAAAGACATTCCCTTGCAAAGTACCATATGGATTATGTATGAAATCCCAATCAGAGTGCTCCGAAAACACTCCAGTATGAGAGAATGCGGTTTTACCTTTCAATTCTCTTATTCAAAATGCTGTCAGGACAGAACAGCACAGGAACACTATCTCCCAGTTTCTGACTTTATTTTTTAAAGAACATCCTTAGTATAAAGGACGTATTAAGAACTGTTAGAAATTGTACCAGCTCACAAATGAGGAGACTGACGATGTTAAGGAACACCTAAGAACTATGGAAATGAGATAAAGCGTCAGCGAGGGTTTCACTTTGATCTGATGCATCGTTTCGTGTCGTGTAAGTCCTCTAAGATGAGCAAGAGAGCTGAAGGTCCGATCACCCCAGCGTGGACCCAGCTGGCTCTGCTCTGCCAACCTGGGGACCAAATATCCTGTGATCACTTCCTTAGTCCAACAGTCCTAGCAAGAAGAGAGTGCTTGGCGCCTTGAAGAGGTGAAGGTAAAGTGAAGAATCAACCAGCCTATGTGATTAAAAGGAAGTCAACCAAACAGCCCATGCCCACCATCCCCAGATACACCCCAAGCCCCTTCCCCTACACATACCTCTCCTACAAACCCCTGCTCTGGTGGTGTAGGAACCTCTAAACCCACCACACTTCCCCGACACAACTCCCCTTCCCACAGGTATCCACGGTCACCTTCGCGGACCATCGCTGCCCCAACCCCAACTTCTCGCCCCACACTCCCTCGCCACAGAAGCCTTCCCGGCCGGTCTCCCCACTCCGCAGCCTCCCACACACGCGCCCTCCCCACTTTCTCGCCCTCGCTTCCCTCCCGGCTCTCGAGGAGCTTCCCCCGACCTCCCCTCGCTCTCCTCCACGCCCCCGAACACTTTCGCCCCTCCACCGCGGGCTCCCCGCCTCCAGTCTCGAGGCCCGGCCCAGGCATGTGGGGCAGGCACCTCCTCCACCGCCCCCCAAGCATGGCCCGGCCCGGGGGCTCCCGCGTTGATGGGAGCCTCGGAGACAGGGGGTCTGAGGAGAACGACGCCGGACCCGCGGTCCCTCCACTGCTCGCCGACCCCGGAGAGCTGGAGTGTGGAGTCGCCTCTGGGGTCCCCCAGGGAGTAGGAGTCTAGGCCGGTGCCCCCCAGCCCCATTTCCTCCCGATCGTTGGAGCGGAGGGGAAGGAGGATCCCCGGGACTCACCTCGAGCCTGTTGTCAACATTAGCCCCGGGTTTCCCAGCACCAACTCCAGCGCTCGGGCTCTCCCCTCCCCTCCCCCCACCTATCTCGCAGCCGAGGGCCCGCCTTCCCTCAGCTCCCCCTCCTCCCTCCGCCCGCCAGCCCTCCCGCCCGCCACTCACCAGCGCGGCCGGGCTGAGAGTGGGGGCGGGGCGGAAGGAGGCGAGAGGGAAAAGGCCATCCGCGCGACTGCCCGATTAAAAACAGTCCTGATCGTCTTCCCTGCGGCATGCCGATGCCCTCAGCTTGACTCTGGGGTGGCGGGTCCGGGGCAAAGGCTCATATGAGTGCCATTCACTTAACAGCTCTTTCAAATTCCCCAGTCGATGAGAAGAGCGAATTTTTCAGACTGGCAATACGTAAGGTAGCCACTACCAGCACCTCAAACCAGGGCCCCAGCGGAGGGGTGGAGTGTTCCGAGGACCCGAGGCAGGAAGTGGATTGGTCGCCAGGAAAGGGAAAGCGCCTGAATTGGAGCTGCGCAGGCGCAGGCGCTTCGCGGGGGATGGGGGTGGGAAGCGCGAATGGGGCGGGGCGGAGCTCACGGGAGGCGAGGAAGTGTGGTGGAATAGTGGGAGGGTTACGGAGCGCCATTAAGGACAAGCCCGGCCACGTGATTCTCCTGGGCGTTTCCTGGTGCGAACCTAAGGAAGAGGTCTAAGAAGAGAAAGTTTGATTGGACTAATTCGAGGGGAGACGTTGAAGATTTAGAAAATTGGAAACTGGAGAAACTAAACCATATGGCTGGTTTGGGAGGTGGGAGTCGCTTAGGAATGGGTCTAGTCTTAAGAATGCCCTAAAAGACATCGAAAGTCCTGCGGGGGGATTTCCAGAAGCACTTCTAGGTGTTCGACGTAAAAACCACCCAGGGCGAAGAAGAATCAAGGCTTTTTCCATACACTTCTTAGAAAGTACCTGGTTCTAGCAAGCAAACTTTTAAAAATTACAGTGGCAAGACTTCCCTGAGTTATCAAATCACCCATTTTAAAAAAAAAATGGCTAGCGTCGACATTTCTTCTGAATGCGAACCCAGGCCGACTTTCAAAAATGGGTATCAGTTTATCCACACTGCTTATTTCCTCCTGAATTGCTGAAATGGTGCATCTGGCCTCGAAACAGTACTGGGTTCTGCCAACATGATCCGAGTAGGTGGCTCTGGCTGGTCCGGAGCTAGAGGAACAAGGGTGCGAAACTGGTCTTGACGTTTGCTTGACTTGAGGGGGCCCCACCTGGTGCCCAAGCCCACGTAATGAACTACTACCAACCACAAATACTTGAGGCAAGTCCAGGTTCCCTATGACTCAACCTTTGCCCATTTGCCTCTATTTACTGTTTGCTTCCCCATTTACTCTTAGCACGCAAATTATCCTCTCATACTGAGTGTTGCTGCTTCCTGTATTTAAAAATATATATTTTTTATACACTACACATAGGTCAGTCATTTAAAGGATAGTGAAAGAGAAAGATGAAGGCCGGGCACGGTGGCTCACGCCTGTAATCCCAGCACTTTGGGAAGCCGAGGCGGGCGGATCACAAGGTCAGGAGTTCGAGACCATCCTGCCTAACACGGTGAAACCCCGTCTCTACTAAAAATACAAAAAAAATTAGCCGGCCGTGGTGGCACGTGCCTGTAGTTCCAGCTACTCCGGAGGCTGAAGCAGGAGAATGGCGTGAACCGGGAAGGCAGAGCTTGCAGTGAGCCGAGTTTGCGCCACTGCACTCCAGCCTGGGCGACAGAGGGAGACTCCGTCTCAAAAAAAAAAAAGAGAAAGATGAATACTGCTATTCTGCAGCATTGATAAACAATTATGAGAACTGCCCCAAATACCATATTGGTGATAGCCACCCACGCTTCTCTTCAAGGTTTCCTTTTCCCATTTCATGGGATTACCTTAAGAAGCTTTACTTCTGGCTGGTGCGGTGCCTCATGCCCGTAATCTCAGTACTTTGGGAGGCCGAGGCTGGTGGATCACCTGAGGTCAGGAGTTCCAGACCAGCCTGGCCCCAATATGGTGAAACCCAGTCTCCACTAAAAATACAAAATTAGCCAAATGTGGTGGCGAGCGCCTGTAATCCCAGCTACTCGGGAGGCTGAGGCAGAAGAATCACTTAGAACCCGGGAAGCAGAGGTTGCAGTGAGCCGAGATAGCGCCACTGCACTCTGGACTGGGCAACAGAGTGAGACTCTGCCTCAAAAAAAAAAAAAAAAAGAAAGAAAAGAAAGAAAGAAAAAAGCTTTACCTCTTTGTTAATAAATATAATAAATCCTTCTCATCCTAAATCAAGTCAACCTTTGTCTTTAATCAGGTGTTAAAAGGAAATCACCTAAAATCAAAAAACAGGAGGGCCTTTTTGTTGAGAATTTGCTATTTCACATTTGTGATTTTAGTTCATCGCAATCACCATTTTATAAAAATAGAGTCAGATGAATTTACTATCACAAAACTAATAAGTATACTATCTAGTATTCTCAAATCTAACTCCAAAAACCCAAGTTCTTTCTGCTATGTCTCTATGCAAACTTTTACATAAACTGAGAATGCTGCCAATCATTTTACTTCCAAAGACAGATGTCAAGCTAGCCACCAAAAGCCTGATGTGGGAATATCATTGTAATCTCTTAACTAGAAAAAACACCCCGCTCTGAAGAGGCCATCATTTTTTTATTCGGATAATAATTCAAACTTCATGATTTTCTGAAAATACATTCTCAAGATGAATTTTTGAGAAAAGTCTCAAAAATGTTCATTGTTATTTTTGCCTGCTCCAATTGACAGAACTGTTCTATATGGGGAAAAAAGAGAATGAAACTATTTAGTTTTTATTTAGACCTACACGATACTACTCCCTACTTAAAACCTACCTAGTGGCAGCTTCACAGACGAAAGCAAAGGCCAGGCAAAGAGATTACAATTACGGAGCAGGACAAATCCTGAGTTTAAGGAAAAGAAAAATGCATCAGATGAAGCCAACCAGCTATAACTACAGCCTCTGCCCACTGACCTCAGAGAACTGGGAGTGTTCTGTTCCATGAGGAAATCCAGCTTTGATCTTTTAGAAGCCGATGTTTAACTAACCTAGTTTAAGCTGCTTTTTAAAAAATACCCACCTCTTGGTATATCTCTGGTAGAAATTTTTTCAGCGTTCCCTCTATCTGCTTAACAGTTTCCAAAAGTAAATGTGTTGAGGTGTGTCCCTTCAATATGAAATATAAGCATCGGCCGGGCGTGATGGCTCACGCCTGTAATCCCAACACTGGGAGGCCAAGGCGGGCGGATCACCTGAGGGCGGGAGTTCGAGACCAGCCTGGCCAACATGGTGAAACCCTGTCCCTACTAAAAATATAAAATTAGCCAGGCTTGGTGGTGTGCGCCTGTAATCCCAGCTACTCGGGAGGCTGAGGCAGGAGAATCGTTGAACCCAGAAGGCGGAGGTTGCAGGCAGCCGAGATCACTCCATTGTACTCCAGCCTGGGCAACAAGAGCGAAACTCTGTCTCAAAAAATAAAAAAAGAAAAGAAATGTAAGTATTGAGGGTGCATTTAAACAAATATAAACATACGAAACGTATTAGTACTTATTACCAAATCATGTTGGAATTTCTTGTGGAACTGTAAGATGAAAATCAGTTCACTAACACTGGCTTCTCTGAATTCCACCAAAACAGAACACAAGCAATGTGAGATTAACCTGTTTTATTTTTCAAGCTTTTAATGTGGCTAGTCAAAAAAGTAAATTAATATTGGCTTGGCCGGGCGCTATGGCTGACACCTGTAATCCCAGCATTTTGGGAGGCCAAGGCGGGTGGATCACCTGAGGTCAGGAGCTCGAGACTAGCCTGGCCAACATGGTGAAACCCTGCCTCTACTAAAATACAAAAATTGGCCGGTCATGGTGGCGGGCGCCTGTAATCTCCACTACTCGGGAGACTGAGGTAGGAGAATTGCTTGAACCCAGCAGGCGGAGGTTGTAGTGAGCCAAAATTGCGCCACTGCACTCCAGCCTGGGCAACAAAGCGAGACTCCCTCTCAAAAAATAAATAAATAAATAAATAAATAAAATGATAAGACTTATAAAGTACTTAGAACAGCACTTGGCAAGCAGTGAAAGTCCAATGAATGAGATTACAATCTAATGCAGGAGGTAGATCGTAAATAAACAGATAAAAACTGTGATGGTTAGAATAAATGCTCAAAGGGAAAAAGGGTAACATCATGCAGAGTAACAGGAGAGAGGGAAGAGGGAGGCTGCTTTATAGTCAGGAAAAGGCTCTTGAATGATTTAAAATTTGAGGTAAAACCTGGAGAATTGGAAGTTCCTGGTTATGCAGCTAGAAATGTCAAATGGGCACTTGGAACACAGGGGAGAGCTCCAGCCTAGAGATGAAATTTTGAAAGTCATCCGAACAGACAGTATTTAAAGCCATAAGAATGGATGGGTTCAGGCCAGGCACAGTGGCTCACGCCTGTAACCCCAGCACTTTGGGAGGCCGAGTAAGGCAGATCACTTGAGGTCAGGAGTTTGAGACCAGCTTGGCCAACATGACAAAACCCCATCTCTACTAAAAATACAAAAATTAACCAGGCATAGTGGCGAACGCCTGTAGTCCCCGCTACTCCAGAGGCTGAGGCAGGAGAATGGCGTGAACCCGGGAGGCAGAGGTTGCAGTGAGCCGAGATGGTGCCACTGCACTCCAGCCTGGGCAACAAGAGCAAGACTCCGTCTCAAAAAAAAAAAAAAAAAGAATCGATGGGATCACCCAAGAAACTGCAGCAAAAGAAAAAGGTCCAGGACTCAGCCCTGAGAAACTTCCATATACAGAGGTTAAATATCTAAAAAGGAGACTGAATAAAGAAAGGGAAAACCAGGAGAGTGTGGCGTCATGAAAGCCAAGAAAAGAGGTGCTTCAAGAAAGGAAAAGTGGGAAGCTGTCTTCTGTGTTACTAGGACAGCGAAGAACATGAGGACAGAGAAGTGCTTGTTGCATTAACAATGCGGGAACGAATGCTTACCTTGCAGATGCAGGTCAGTGACGTGGTGGGGACAGATTGGAATGGTTGAACACTAAGTTGGAGATGGAAACAGTGGAGTAATATTTGAGAAATTATGTTGAGAAGAGCAGCAGAAAAATGTAGCCATAGGAAAATGTGAGAAAAGGGAGGAATCTGTTTGGTTTTGCACCTTTTACTTTTGTATATTTTTGGTATTTTTACATGACAGATAAAAGAGGATATGTGGGGGTTTTTTTGTTTGATTGTTGATTTGTTTGAGACAGAATCTCGCTCTGTCGCCCAGGCTGGAGTGCAGTGGCACGATCTTGCCTCACTGCAACCTCCACCTCCCAGGTTCAAGTGATTCTCCTGCCTCAGCCTCCCGAGTAGCTGGGACTACAGGGATGTGCCACCACACCCAGTTAATTTTTTTTTTTTTTTTTGAGATAGAGTCTCACTCTGTCATCGGGCTGGAGTCCAGTGGCACGATCTTAGCTCACTGCAACCTCTGCCTCCCGGGTTCAAGCAATTCTCCTGCCTCAGCCTCCCCAGTAGCTGGGGCTACAGATGCACACCGCCACGCCTGGCTAATTTTTTGTATTTTAGTAGAGATGGGGTGTCACTGTGTTGCCCAGGCTGGTCTCGAAATCCTGAGCTCAGGCAATCCACCCACCTCAGCCTCCCAAAGTGCTAGGATTACAGGCGCCCGCCACCATGCCCGGCTAATTTTGTATTTTTAGTAGAGACTGGGTTTCTCCATGTTGGCCAGTCTGGTCTCGATCTCCTGACATCAAGTGATCCACCCGCCTGGGCCTCCCAAAGTGCTGGTATTACACAAGTAAGCCACCACACCTGGCCCTGGATTTCGTTCTTAATCATTACAATTTTTCAGTGAAATTTGAGGCACGGTCATCAGCTAAGAGTGAGATGAGGGAGACAGTTGGGCAGGTTTGAAAAGAGAAGAGAAAATGTGAGAGAGACTGAAGAGTGTTGAAAGCCAGTGAGCTGCCCCTTAGGGATTTCCAGGTTATGCTGAGCAGCTCCTTCAGCTCTGAGGTCATGAGTTGAAAGTAAAACCAGAGCCAGGCACGGTGGCTCACGCCTGTAATCCCAGCAATTTGGGAAGCCGAGGCGGGTGGGTGCATCACCTGAGGTCAGGAGTTTGAGACCAACCTGGCCAATATGGTGAAACCCCATTTCTACTAAAAATACAAAAATTAGCCAGGCATGGTGGTGAGCACCTGTAGTGTCAGCTAACCAGGAGGCTGAGGCAGGAGAATCACTTGAACCTGGGAGGTGGAGGTTGCACTGAGTGAGATCATGCCACTGCATTCCACCCTGGGCAACAAGATGGAAACTCCATATCAAAAAAAAAGGAAACTAAAACTATCCAGCCTCACATGCCAGTTTCTTTGTTTTTTTCTTTTCTTTTTTTTTTTTTTTGAGACAGATTCTCAATCTTGTCACCCAGGGTGGAGTGGGATCTCAGCTCACTGCAATCTCTGCCTCCTGGGTTCAAGCAATTCTCCTGCCTCAGCGTCCTGATAGCTGGGATTACAGGTGCCCAACACCACGCCTGGCTAATTTTTTTGTATTTTTAGTGGAGACAGGGTTTCACCATGTTGGCCAGGCTGGTCTCGAACTCCTGATATCAGGTGATCCGCCCACCTCGGACTCCCAAAGTGCTGGGATTACAGGCGTGAGCCACCGCACCCCGCTGGCACATGCCAGTTTCTCCAGAAGATATGGAAAGTTAGGTTTAATCACAGTTGGGCTTTTTTTTTTTTTTCATGATGGTAATGACAGACAAAGAGTAAGGGAATCGAGGGTGTTTGCAAGAGAATGATTAGAATGGAGGATCATGGAACCTAAGCTGGGCGAGGAGGGAGGTGAAGGGAAAGGAGGAATGCATGAGTGTGGATGGGGAAGATGGACAGACTGGAGTAAATAAAAGCTGCAAAGAGGCCGGGTGTGGTGGGTCATGCCTGTAATCCCAGCATGTTGGGAGCCCAAGGCGGGCGGATCACTTGAGATCAGGAGTTTGAGACCAGCCTGGCCAACATGGTGAAACCCTGCCTCTACTAAAAATACAAAAATTAGGCAGGTGTGGTAGCTTAAGCCTGTAATCTCAGCACTTCAGGAGGCCGACACGGGCAGATCATTTGAGGCCAGGAGTTCGAGACCAGCCTGGCCAACATGGTGAAACCCCATCTCTACTAAAAATACAAAAAAGTAGCCAGACGTGGTGGCACAGGCCTGTAGTCCAAGCTACTTGGGAGGCTGAGGCAGGAGACTAACTTGAACCTGGGAAGCAGAGGTTGCACTGAGCCAAGATCATGCCACTGCACTCTAACCTGGGCGACAGCAAGACTCCGTCTCAAAAAAAAAAAAAAATTCTGCAAAGTAGACAGTAAGATCCCAGCTACTCGGGAGGCTGAGGCAAGAGAATCGCTTGAACCTGGGAGGCGGAGGTTGCAGTAAGCCAAGACCGCGCCACTGCACTCCAGCCTGGGCAACAGAGCAAACCTCTGTCTCAAAAAAAAAAAAAAAAAGAGACAGGAAGGAGCCAAAACCTTTAGTGAATGAAAGGGGACAGAATTGGACACCAGCGGTGATTCTGAAGAGCTGTGGGAGTGTAGGGAGAAAGAATGAGTCCAAAGGACCCAAGGTTTTTGAAAGATGACAGAAATGACCAGGTCAGGAAGCAAGGAACAGGCAGCTGTGCACTCAGACTGCATGAGTTCAAACTCTGATTCCAACATTTACTCACTATTTGAACTTGGGCTCATTATTCAACCAGTTTAAATAACAGCTTTTTATTCTTAACAATCATGATAATAATAGTACTCTTTCATGGGGTATTATGAAGAGTAAAGGAGGTAATTGAAATAAAAGCACTTAGCACCATGCTCTAGAATGTGCTCTGTAAGTGTTGGCTGTTACTAAATCATGTTGGAAACCACAAACTTGATCTAAATAGCTTTGCAGTTTGAATAAATACTACTTCAACAGCCATTTCTTTGCCTTAACACTGTTGAGAAACCAGTGCATCTGAAACCTTTTACTTCAAGCATTAGGAATCTGTGCCAAGACATTGAAGATTAAATGAAGCTTAAAAAGAAGGGCTTACAGCCAGGTGCAGTGGCTCAATGCCTGTAATCCCAGCAATTTGGGAGGTCGAGGTAGGTGGATCACCTGAGGTCAGGAGTTCAAGACTAGCTTGGCCAACATGGTGAAACCTCGTCTCTACTAAAAGTACAAAATTAGCTGGGCATATTGGCACACTCCTCGAGGGGCTGAGGCAGGAGAATCACTTGAACCTGGGAGGTGGAGGTTGCAGTAAGCCGAGATGGTGCCATTTTACTCCATCCTGGAAAACAAGAGCAAAATTCCATCTCAAAAACAAATAAACAAACAAACAAACAAAAGAAGTGGTTACAAATGAAGATGAAAAAGGGGAGAAAAAAGGAAGAGTTTTCTTAGCTAAGCAACTGTTAATGACAGAGGTTTGTAAACTCTTTCTGCCAAGCCACTTTGGAAGCCATTTGGCTTACAGGGTACAATTCAGAGTCCTTAGCAGGAGCTCTTAATCATGGCCTCTTGTCTATGCATCTGGTCTCATTTCTTGCTACTTCCCCACATGTCTAAGTTCCGGCCATAACAAATAACCTGCATACACAGGACTTCCTCTTCCCTTAGTGCACATTATGCCTTTGCCTAGAATGTCCTTTCTCCCACGAATATTTACAGACTAGTTAAGTCAAGCATTATTTCCTCAGGGAAGTCGTGGTTTATCACTACCACCTTACAAATACTGAGGTCCCAGCCCCCATCCGGGTTCCTGCAGCAGCCTCTGATCACCCATCTTACAACATTCATTATCTTATATTGGAATACCTTTAAAATATCTGTTTTCGGCCCGGTGCAGTGGCTCATGCCTGTAATCCCAGAACTTTGGGAGGCCAAGGATCACAAGGTCAGGAGTTCGAGACCAGCCTGGCCAACATGGTGAAACCCCGTCTCTACTAAAAATACAAAAATTAGCCGGGTGTGGTGGTGGGCGCCTGTAATCCCAGCTGCTCAGGAGGCTAAGGCAGGAGAATCACTTGAACCTGGGAGGTGGAGGTTGCAGTGAGCCGAGATCACGTCACTGCACTCTAGCCTGGGCAACAGAGCAAGACTCCATCTCAAAAAAAAAAAAATCTGTTTTTCTCATGAGACTGTAAGCTACTTGGGGCTATAATTTGTATCTCACTAATATACAAAGTGTCTTGTGGAAAGCACTTTGTAACATTTTGGTAGAAGGATTAATGTAAATGAATGTTTTCTTTGGAGAGGATGAGAAACTTGTGTACTGAAGCAGGAATGTGTAGGATTTTTTTTTTTTTAAAGACAGGGTCTCACTGGCCTGGCGCGGAGGCTCACGCCTGTAATCCCAGCACTTTGGGAGGCCGAGGTGGACAGATCACGAGGTCAGGAGATCGAGACCATCCTGGCTAACATGGTGAAACCCCATCTCTACTAAAAAATAGAAAAAATTAGCTGGGCATGGTGGCGGGTGCCTGTAGTCCCACTACTCGGGAGGCTGAGGCAGAAGAATGGCATGAACCCGGGAGGCGAAGCTTGCAGTGAGCCGAGATCGCGCCACTGCACTCCAGCCTGGGCAACGGAGCGAGACTCCATCTCAAAAAAAAAAAAAAAAAAAAAAAAAAAAAACAACCACAAAGACAGGGTCTCACTTTGTCACCCAGGCTGGAGTGCAATGGCACCATCCCAGCTCATTGCAGCCTCAACCTGCCAAAGTTCAAGCAATCCTCCTGCCTTAGACCCCCGCCCCCACAAGTAGCTGGGACTACAAGCTTATACCACCATGCCAGGCTAATTTTTATGTATTTTTTGTAGAGATAGAGTTTTACCGTGTTGCCCAGGCTGGTCTCGAACCCCTGAGCTCAAGCAATCTGCCTGCCTTGGCCTCCCAAAGTGCTGAGATTACAGGCATGAGCCACCGTGCCTGGCCAAGAAAGGATATTTTGGAGGAAACCATTACATTATAGCCTGGAGTTTCATTTTTATTTACCAAGTGATATACTAACTCTTAACAGACTAAACACACCCCTTTTGGTGATTTGCATGAAAGCTATTCAAGTTTTTATCAGTGAGAGGTTGAATGGACACCTCTAAGTATGTGTCAGGCATTAATCCATCTAATGCTTCTATTTGATAGGTCCTATTTTCCCTATTTTTACAGATGGGGGGAACGTGCTTAGCATAGTTAAATAATGTGCCCAGGATTACATAGCTACTCAACTCAGGCTGTGTGATGACAAAGTTCACACTCTTATATAAGATTTCCTTCCATTCTAAGATGTTTCCCCCACCTTATACAACTGACTACCACATACAGTGGTAATACAGATATCCCCATTAACATCATCAGAATATGGAATAAGAAAAGACATGATTTTACAGCACTCTGGGAGGCCGAGACAGGTGGATCACGATGTCAAGATATTGAGACCATCCTGGCCAATATGGTGAAATCCCATCTCTACTAAAAATACAAAAAATTAGCCGGGTGTGGTGGCGGGCGCCTGTAGTCCCAGGTACTCGGGAGGCTGAGGCAGGAGAATGGCGTGAACCCGGGAGGCGGAGCTTGCAGTGAGCCAAGATCACGCCACTGCACTCCAGCCTGGGCCACAGAGCGAGACTCCATTTCAAAAAACAAAAAAAAAAAAAAAAAAAAGAAAAGACATGATTTTATAATCTAGTTCAAACAAGACAGACCAATATATATAATAACACAAGAATGTCTGCCTGGGTCACACCAGTGTGTTGCTAAATCTATAACCATGATAATACAAAGGAAAGAAGGCTGAACTGGAAGTGAAAGACGTTTGTCTAGGCTTAGAGCCCAGACAGGGCACGTGCAACCCAGCGAAACTAGGGCAAGTCATTTGTAACTGTTCCGTGACTCAGAGCCCTCGTTTTACAAATCAATGGATTAGACTTCACCGTCCCTAACCTTATTACTTTAATTTAATTTTGGGATGGAGTCTCACTCTGTCCCCCAGGCAGGAGTGCAGCGGCACGATCTTGGCTCACTGCCGAGGCTGGAGTGCAGTGGAACGATCTCAGCTCATTACAACCTCCGCCTTCTGGGTTCAGGCAATTCCCCTGCCTCAGCCTTCCGAGTTGCTGGGATTACAGGTGCCTGCCACCACGCCTGGCTAATTTTTGTATGTTTAGTAGAGACGGGGTTTCACCATGTTGGCCAGGCTGGTCTCTAACTCCTGACCTCAGGTCATCTGCCCCATTGGCCTCCCAAAATGCTGGGATTACAGGCGTGAGCCACCATGCCCAACTGCTTCCAAACATTTCAGAGTCCAAGCGAAAAGTGGTTGCATGGGTAGGGCGTGGCTCATGCCGCTACTTCCCCACATGCCTAAGTTCCGGCCATAACAAATAACCTGCATACACAGGACTTCCTCTTCCCTTAGTGCACATTCACTTCTTGTGTCAGTTGCTAAGAGTAATCATGTAAAGAAATAGGTGTCATTTTTGATAGCTGATTCTGGAAGTTTCTAGTTTCTTCTGGAAGGTATACTGCAGACATAATAATATATGCATAATATATCCCTAAAGTTTCTCCGTGGAAGCTTGAACCCGGGAGGCACAGGTTGCAGCAAGCCAAGATCGCGCCATTACACTCCTGCCTGGGCGACAGAGTGATCTCTTGGTTCGCTGCAACCTCCCCTCCCAGGCTCAAGCAATTCTCCTGTCTCAGCCTCCCAAGTACCTGGGATTACAGGCATGTGCCATCACGCCCGGCTAATTTTTGTATTTTTAGTAGAGACAGGTTTCACCATGTTAATTAACCAGGCTGGTCTCGAACTCCTGACCTCATGATCTAACTGCCTCGGCCTCCCAAAGTGCTGGGATTACAGGCGTGAGCCACCGCGCCCTGCTGGCAGTTCTATTTTTTTATTTTTTTTATTTTTTTTTTTTTTTGAGACAGAGTCTCGCTCAGTCGCCCAGGCTGGAGTGCAGTGGCGCAATCTCGGCTCACTGCAAGCTCCGCCTCCCGGGTTCACGCCATTCTCCCGCCTCAGCCTCCCGAATAGCTGGGACTACAGGCACCTGCCACCGTGCCCGGCTAATTTTTTGTATTTTTAGTAGAGACGGGGTTTCACCATGTTAGCCGGGATGGTCTCGATCTCCTTGACCTCATGATCCACCCGCCTTGGCCTCCGAAAGTGCTGGGATTACAGGCGTGAGCCACCGAACCCAGCCATTCAGTTCTATATTTTTAAGTGACTTAATTATGTAATCCTCACAATAAGTTATGTGGTAGATACTATTTTTTTGAGCCTGAATTTCATTGTCACCCAGGCTGGAGTGCAGTGGCTCAACTCGACTCACTGCAACATCTACCTCCCGTGTTCAAGTGATTCTCCTGCCTCAGCCTCCAGAGTAGCTCTGACTACAAGTGCGCACCACCACACCCAGCTAATTTTTGTATTTTTAGTAGAGACAGGGTTTCACCGTGTTGGCCAGGCTGGTCTCTAACTCCTGACCTCAAGAGATCCATCTGCCTCGGCCTCCCAAAGTGTTGGGATTACAGGCGTAAACCACCTCGCCCTGCTGTAGATACGATTATTAAGCCCATTTTACTGATGTGAAAAATGAGGGTTAAAGAAGTCAGGTAACCTGCCTAAGCTCACACCTAAGTGCCAGAGCTAGGATTAGGAATCAGGTTCTTTAGATTAAAAGTGATTTAGCCAGGCAGGGCACGGTGGCTGACGCCTGTAATCCCAGCACTTAGGGAGGCCGAGGCAGGAGGATCACCTGAGGTCAGGAGTTCGAGGCCAGCCTGACCAACATGGAGAAACCCCATCTCTACTAAAAGCACAGAATTAGCCGGGCCTGGTGGTACATGCCTGTAATCCCAGCTACTCGGGAGGCTGAGGTAGGAGAATCACCTGAACCCAGGAGGTGGAGGTTGCAATGAGCCGAGATCACACCATTGCACTTCAGCCTGGGCAACAAAGAAAGACTCCGTCTCAAAAAAAAAAAAAAAAAACAAGTGTGACTTAGTCACAACCTTATGCTAGCTTTCTCTAAGATAGGCTTCTTTATCTCCATTTTACAGCTGGAGACCAAGATATGATCCCAGGTCAAATAGCTAAGAACTCACAAAACACATTCAAACCCTCATATTTCTCTCCCAAGCCCTGTTTCCTAAAAATTATGTTGCTACTTCTCATTCTCCTTTGCCGGAACTCCTCATCCCAACCTTTAAACTTCTGAGTTCTTCGGCATTACAAGTCTAGGCTCCCTCTTTCATACTGAGGACCTCAAAAATATCTTTATTTTACTTTTTTGAGATGGAGTCTCACTCTGTTGCCTAGGCTGGAGTACAGTGGCGCGATCTCAGCTCATTGCAGCCTCCACCTCCCGGGTTCAAGAGATTCTCCTGCCTCAGCCTCCCAAGTAGCTGGAATTACAGGCAGTCGCCATCATGCCCTGCTAATTTTCATATTTTTAGTAGAGATGGGGTTTCTCCATGTTGGCCAGTCTGGTCTCTCGAACTCCTGCCCTCAGGTGATCCACCCGCTTCGGCCTCCCAGATTCTTGGATTATAGGCATGAGCCACCGCATCCGGTCAGATTTTTTTTTTTTTTTTTTTTTTGAGACGGAGTCTCACTCTGTCACTCAGGCTGCAGTACAGTGGCATGATCTTGGCTCACTGCAACCTCCCTTTCCCAAGTTCAAGTGATTCTCCTGCCTCAGCCTCCTGAGTAGCTGGAATTACAGGCACATGCCACCGCACTGCTAATTTTTGTATTTTTAGTAGGGATGGGTTTTCACCTTGTTGGTCAGGCTGGTCTCAAACTCCTGGCCTAGTGATCCGCCCACCTTGGCCTCCCAAAGTGCTGGGATTACAGGCATGAGCCACCGTGCCCAGTCTCTCTCTCTCTCCCCTTGCTTGCTCTCTCTCTCCTTACTCTCCTCTCTCTCTCTGTCATCTCTCTCTCTATCTTTCTCCCTGCCCCCCTCCTTTCTCTCTTCTCTGAGGAAAGCAAGCTTCCATGTTGGGAGCTGTCCTTCGGAGAAGCCCACATGGCAAAGAACTGAGGGTGGCTTCTGGCCAACAACCAGTAAGGAACTCATGCCTGCCAACAGCCACGTGACTGAACTTGGAGGCCAGTTCTCTCCCAGCTGAGCCTTCAGATGGAATCACAATCTCACTGGAATTGCAACTGCCTCCTGAGAGGCCTTGAGCCGGAGCCCCTAAGCTAAGCTCTCTGGCGTACTGACCTGAAACTGTGTGATAACATATGGCTGTTGTATCAAGGCACTAAGTTGTGGCGTAATTTGTCACACACCAATAGATTACTAGTACGATGATAATCATTATTTTAATATTACCTATCAGCCGGGCATAGTGGCTCATGCCTATAATCCCAACACTTTGAGAGGCTGAGGCAGTAGGATTGCTTGAGCCCAGGCGTTTGAGACCAGCCTGGGCAACATAGTAAGACCCCATCTCTACAAAAAAATACAAAAATTAGCTAGGCGTGGTGGTGCACGCCTGTGGACCCAGCTTCTTGGGAGGCTGAAGTGAGAAGATTGCTTGAGCCCCGGAGGTCAAGACTGCAGTGAGCCATGATCGCGCCACTGCCCTCTGGCCTGGGCAACAGAGCAAAATCCCATCTCAAAAAAAAAAAAAGAAATTACTGTCATATACATGTACTTACATTCATATATTTTTGTAAGTATGATACATTTCACAATGAGAGTGTTTAAACAAGGAAAAAGAGGTGATCGTGGGTATAAGCCAGAAGAAAGAAAAGAAAAGAAGTCATCATTTTAAAAATGTTATACATGTATTTTAATTTTATTTTATGAAATAGAGACAGGATCTTACTATGTTGCCCAGGCTGGTCTCGAACTCTTGGCCTCAAGCAGTCTTCCTGCCTTGACTTCCCAAACTGTTGGAATTATGAACAGGAGCCATCACTCTTGGCTGAAAATAAGTAGTTTTTTGTTTTGTTTTTTTGTTTGTTTGTTTTTTGAGACAGAGTCTCACTCTGTCGCTCAGGCTGGAGTGCAGTGGCTCTCTCTTGGCTCACTGCAACCTCCCCCTCCTGGGTTCAAGCGATTCTCCTGCCTCAGCCTCCCGAATAGTTGGGATTACAGGCAACTGCCACTAGGCCCAACTAATTTTTTTGTATTTTTAGTGGAGCCGAGGTTTCACCATGTTGGCCAAGCTGGTTTCCAACTCCTGACCTCAAATGATCCGCCCACCTCAGCCTCCCAAAGTGCTGGGATTTCAGGCATGAGCCATCATTTTTTAAGGAATTTCTATCAACCAAGGAAGAAATGAGAATAAGTAATAGCAATAGCAAAAGGATGTTTTTGTCTACCCTAAAGAGTTGATTTGAATAAATCCCATCTTCTCGCCCTTCTGGGTCTGAATAGTTGGTCATGTATACCCTACTCTTAAAACTCTAGTAAGCCGGGTGCGGTGGCTCATGCCTGTAATCCCAGCACTTTGGGAGGCTGAGGCGGGCGGATCATGAGGTCAGGAGATCGAGACCATCCCGGCTAACACAGTGAAACCCCGTCTCTACTAAAAATACAAAAAATCAGCCGGGCATGGTGGCAGGTGCCTGTAGTCCCAGCTACTCGGGAGGCTGAGGCAGGAGAATGGCGTGAAGCCAGGAGGCGGAGCTTGCAGTGAGCCGAGATCGTGCCACTGCACTCCAGCCTGGGCAATACAGCGACTGAGACTCCGTCTCAAAAAAAAAAAAAAAAAAACTCTAATTAAAGTGGGCAGGGGTAAGGAAAGCAAGTGAAATTAGTCCTCTGTTGTGATAAATAAATTCTGAGTTACATATCAAATTCAATAATACATGTACATGCCCCATCATCAAGATCATTTGAGAATTTCTGTTAACAAAAAGTTGTTGGTAGAAAATATGGTATGTGGCTGGGCGCGGTGGCTCACACCTGTAATCCCAGTACTTTGGGAGGCCTAGGTGGGTGGATCACCTGAGATCAGAAGTTCGAGACCAGCCTGGCCAACACAGTGAAACCCCGTCTCTACTAAAAATACAAACATCAGCTGGATGTGGTGGCACACACCTGTAATTCCAGCTACTCTGGAGGCTGAGGGAGGAGAATCGCTTAAACCTGGGAGGCGGAGGTTGCAGTTAGATGAGATTGCACCAGTGCACTCCAGCCTGAGCAACAGAGCGAGACTCTGTCTCAAAAAATTTTTAAAAATAAAATAAAAGTATAAATTCTAGATGGGTGTGGTGGCTGGCAGGTGCCTGTAGTCCCAGCTACTCAGGAGGCTGAGGTGGAAGAATCACTTGAGCTCAGGAGGTCAAGGCTACAGTGAGCCATGATCACACCACTGCACTCCAACCTGGGTGACGGAGTGAGACCTGTCTCATAAATAAATAAATAAATGTGTTATTTTATTTTATTTATTTATTTATTTATTGAGACAGAGTTTCACTCTTGTAGTCCAGGCTGGAGTTCAGTGGTGCCATCTCAGCTCACTGCAATCTTCCCCTCTCTGGTCCAAGTGATTCTCCTGCCTCAGCCTCCCAAGGAACTGGGGCTACAGGTGCACGCCACCACACCCGGCTAATTTTTGTATTTTTAGTAGAGACTGGGTTTCACCATGTTGGCCAGGCTGTCTTGAACTCCTGACTTCAGGTGATCCACCCACCTTGGCCTCCCAAAGTGCTGGGATTACAGGCGTGAGCCACCACACCCAGCCGTTAATTTAAAAAAGTGTAAATTCTAGCATGCTCAGTGCTTTAAAAAATAAACCAAAGAGTCCAAGCAAGCACCCTTCTTCAAAAATAAAATAGTCCTGTGTCTAGCCTAGTGAACTGACCATTCGCATATTTGAACACTCTATTAATGAGAAAAAATAAGCCAATACCTAGAATATTCCAGCCCAGGCTGGAGTGCAGTGGCGTGATCATGGCTCACTGCAACCTGGGCTCAAGTGATCCTCTGACCTCAGCCTATGGAGTAGCTGGGACTGCAGGTGCACACAACCATGCCCAGCTAATTTTTTTTTCTTTCTTTGCTTTTCTTTCTTGCTTTTTTTTTTGAGATGGAGTTTCGCTCTTGTTGCCCAGGCTGGAGTCCAATGGCGCGATTTCGGCTCACTGCAACCTCCGCCCCCCCGGGTTCAAGTGATTCTTATGTCTCAGCCTACCAAGTAGCTGGGATTACAGGCACATGCCAGCATGACCAGCTAATTTTTGTTTTTTTGTTTTTGTTTTTTTTTTTTTTGAGACGGAGTCTCACTCTGTCACCAGACTGGAGTGCAGAGGTGATATCTCGGCTCACTGCAAGCTTTGCCTCCTGGGTTCACACCATTCTCCTGCCTCAGCCTCCCGAGTAGCTGGGACTACAGGCGCCCACCACCACGCTCGGCTAATTTTTTGTATTTTTAGTAGAGATGGGGTTTCATCATATTGGTCAGGCTGGTCTCGAACTCCTGACCTCATGTGATCCACCTGGCTTGGTCTCCCAAAGTCCTGGGATTACAGGCATGAGCCACCGTGCCTGGACTTAATTTTTGTATTTTTTGTAGACACAAGGTTTCTCCATGTTGCTTAGGCTGGTCTGGAACTCCTGAGTTCAAGCGGTCCACCTGCCTTGGCCTCCCAAAGTGTTGAGATTACAGGCGTGAACCATCATGCGTAGCCTCATATTCCTATTCTTACATCCAGTCATTGCTAATTGTCTTGCACCCTGACATACACATTTGCTCACCAGGCCTCATCCATGTTCAAGATCATTAAATCCCAGGAATCATGCCAAGGGCCACTATGGTGAATAAGACCTTGTTATAATAATAGTTAATATGCCTTAAGTACTTACAATATGCCAGGGACTGTTGTAAAGTGTTTTACATATAGCTACACCAAACCTATCAGGTAGGTACTATTACAACCCCATTTTACTTACTTACTTATTTATTTTTATTTGCTTATTTTTGAGACGGAGTTTCGCTCTTGTTGCCCAGGCTGGAGTGCAGTGGCGTGATCTCAGCTCATTGCAACCTCCACCTCCCGGGTTCAAGAAATTCTCCTGCCTCAGCCTCCCAAACAGCTGGGATTACAGGTGCACAACACCACACCTGGCTAATTTTTTGTATTTTTAGTAGAGACAGGGTTTCACCATATTGGCCAGGGTAGTATGGAACTCCTGACCTCAGGTGATCTGCCCACCTCGGCCTCTTAAAGTGCTGGGATTACAGGCATGAGCCACCGTGCCTGGCCACAATCCCATTTTTGAGGCTTAAAGAGTTTAAATAACTTCCCAAGACCCCACAGCTGTAAGTGCTAGCATCAATACTTGAATACAGACAGTCGGGCACTGACACCCATACGTTCATTGGACAAATATTTACAATGCACCTATTTTGTGGCAATCGCTATTCTAGGCACTTGGTTTTTCAGTGATCATCTATGCACAGTGCTCAGTTCATCCAGGCACTAGGCTCATAAGCTCATCAGTGAGCAAGACCTACAGAGATCTTTACCCTCATGGAGTTTACTCATTAGTCAGGGGAGATAGACAAACAATGATAAGCAGATTATGTAGTATATTAGGAAATAAGTGTGATAATAAAAATAAGAAGTACAGCAGAGGCTGAGTACAGTGGCTTATGCCTGTAATCCTAGCACTTTGGGAGGCCGAGGTAGGTGGATTGACTGAGCTCAGGAGTTCAAGACCAGCCTGGGCAACATGGCAAAACCTTGTCTCTACCAAAAATACCAAAAAAAAAAAAAAAAAAAAAAGGGCTGGGCATGGTGGCACACACCTGTGGTCCCAGCCAGTTGGGAGGCTGAGGTGGGAGTGTCGCTTGATCCTGGTAGACTGAGGTTGCAGTGAGCCAAGATTGCATCCCTGCACTCCAGCCTGGGTGACAGAGTGAGACCCTGTCTCAAAAAATAAAAAAAAAAAATTTTAAATTAAAAATTTAAAAAAGTACAGCAGAATCAGGGGACCAGGAGTATAAGGGGTGAGGCAGCTAGTTGCAATTTTAGGAACAGCAGGTAGACCTGGCTGAGAAGATAACATTTATTTCTTTTTTCTAATTTTGGTTATAATTTTAAAAATAATTTTAAAATGCTGAAAAGCACAGTAAATAAAATAAATACGCATGTTCTCTCTACCTACAATGTGAAAAATGCTAACATTTTGCTATATTTGGTTCAAAATATTCTAAAGAAACTAAAGCAGGAGTGTCCAATCTTTTGGCTTCCCTGGGCCACAGTGGAAGAATTGTCTTGGGCCACAGATAAAATATACTAACACTATTGATAACTGATGAAATATACACATATACATATTTATGGAGTTTTTTTGTGATTTTTTTTTTCTCAAATATATTTATTTGAGATGGAGTCTCCCTCTGTCAACCAGGCTGGAGTGCAATGGCTCAATCTGGGCTCACTGCAACCTCCACCTCTCGGGTTCAAGCAATTCTCCTGCCTCAGCCTCCTGAGGACCTGGGACTACAGGTGTGCACCATGATGCCTGGCTAATTTTCATATTTTCAGTAGAGACGAGGTTTTGCCATGTTGGCCGGGGTGCTCTTGAACTCCTGGACTCAGGTGATCCTCCCGCCTTGGCCTCCTGAAGTGTTGGAATTACAGGTGTGAGCCATAGCGCTCTTTTCTCTCTCTCTTTTTATTTTTATCCCTAGTCCTGCAGTCCTTCTCTTGTCTGACCACTTGACTTCCCAACTGTTACCAATGCATTCATCAGACAGAGATGTATTAATGGCTTATTATGTGCTTAGACTGCAATACCAGAGTCATTTCCTAGAAGGAAGGAATGGTTTTAACATCTGTGCTTCATCACATTCAATCCTGAAATACTTAATTTTGTGCAGTAGAAGATTAAAAGAAACTATTTGTAATAGCACTAATATAAGACCTTGACTTCGGTTATGGTAAGTAATAGAGAAAGACCATTTCGATGGATTTTGAAATCTTTACATTCTTTTCTGAATCCCAGACCCAAAAACCCATCTCTGTTGAATGGAGCAAGCAAATTAAATGGAGTGTAAAATGAAACTGTGATACTGTGTATGTCAGCGGAAACTGATGGGTCTTACGAGTTCAAGATTTGCAAGTCTAAACACTTGAAAAGTATGGCCACCTTAATTGTTTTGTGATTTAGCTCCTAATCCTCCTCAAGCAGTATTTATGCAAAAGCATTGCCAGCAGCAGTCGGGAGTTCTTAATTTTCATCCTGTTTTGCTTTATCCTAAAGTACGAGTGAACTCATGTAAGAAAGAGGTTTCTCATCCAGGCGCGGTGGCTCATGCCTGTAATCCCAGCATTTTGGGAGGCCGAGGCAGGCATATGACTTGAGCCCAGGAGTTCAAGACCAGTCGTGAGCAACATGGTGAAACCCCGTCTCTACAAAAAGTACAAAAATGAGCCTGGTGTGGTGGCATGCACCTGTTTTACCAGCTACTCGGTGTAAGGTTATCTGAAAGACAGGACGAGAGAGACCCAAGGTCAGGCGAGTAATTTTATTAACCTGCCAGGCTGCTCCATCACAGTCAGAGGATGCAGCCCTGAGCTTACAAAATGAGGGGTGTGTATGGGGGAGACAGACCCTGGGGTTGTTTGTTGGTTAACTTTACCAATATCATCTCATGAATGGCTTACAATACATTATCTTGTGAAAATAGGAATTTACAAGAGGGTGTAATTTAGGTTTATCTATGTTTCTTGTGACCTCCCCCATGCTGCCCACAGGGCTGTAATAGCAAGTCTGGTGACCTTGCTGTGGTGCCTAGATAAGGTTTCTGGAATGCAGCTGCAGAGTATTCAGGGTAAGGGCCAGCTGCATTGAGGTGGGGGGTTCCTGGGGCAGCTTGTCCCTAACACTCAGAAGGCTGAGGTGGGAGGATCACTTTAGCCCGAGAGGTCGAGGCTGCAGTGATCACGCCACTGCACTCCAGCCTGGGTGAAAGAGCAAGACCCTATCTCAAAAAAAAAAAAAAAAAAAAAAAAAAGGAAGCAGCTCATTATTTATTGAATTGGAACAATTCCTAAGATATATATATGTGTGTGTGTTTGTGTGTATGGCAGTAATATATATATATATATATTTTTTTTTTGAGACAAGGTCTTGCTCTGTCTCCCAGGCTGGAGTTCAATAGTGTGATCATGGCTCATTGCAGCCTGGACCTCCCCGGCTCAAGCGATCCTCCCACCTCAGCCTCTTGAATAGCTGAGACTACAGGTGTGTGCCACCACACCCTGCTAATTTATTTTTATTTTCTATAGAGATGAGGTCTCCCTATGTTGCCCAGGCTGATCTCGAACTCCTGGCCTCAAGTGATCCTCCCAGCTCAGCCTCCCAAAGTGTTGGGATTATAGATGTGACCCGTTGTACCCAGCCATGCTTTGTTCTGTTTTACAACTATATAGTATTCCATTGTATAGGACTTTTACGTAATCCCCTATTTTTGGATATTTAGGTGCTCACAATCTTTTCTTTTTTTTTTTTTTTTTTTTGAGCGGAGTCTAGCACTGTCGCCCAGGCTGGAGTACAGCAGCACGATCTCGGCTCACTGCAAGCTCCACCTCCCGGGTTTACGCCATTCTCCTGCCTCAGCTTCCTGAGTAGCTGGGACTACAGGCGCCAACCACCACGCCCGGCTAATTTTTTTGTATTTTTTTAGTAGAGACGTGGTTTCACCATGTTAGCCAAGATGGTCTCAATCTCCTGACCTCGTGATCCGCCCGCCTCGGCCTCCCAAAGTGCTGAGATTACAGGCATGAGCCACCACGCCGGGCCTCACAATCTTTTCTTTCAATTATAGACAACGCTACAATGAATATGTACAAAATTGTGTGTGAATGTGTACATGAAAGTCTGTTCTTTGTATGAATTCCCAAAGGTGGAACTGCTGGGTCAAACAGAATGTATTTTATTAATTTTGTAAGATATTCACAGTCTGCCCTCTGTATAGTTCGTACCACTTTACATTTTTACCAACAATGTATGAGAGTACCTATTGCCCATACCTTTACCAACACAGCATGCTATCAAACTTTTAGAAACATTTTGAACTCTGCCAATCTACATCAAGTATTCTCACCTGAGGTCCACAGGCCTCAAGAAGGGGTTTCTCTCCCTGTAGTACCAAAGTCCACCTTCCATACAAAATCTCAGTTTCAAGCATCCCACTATCTGACCACCAGTTCACTCATTCTAGTGTCTGCACTTCAACTCTTTGCCTCTTGTTACCCTCAATCCACTGGTCCTATCAATTTTTCAGTGTCAACCTCCCTTTTGCTTGTCCCGTTACCCAGCCTAGTTTCTATGGCTCAATGCTGTGAACACTCCCTTGCCTAATGTCTTCATCAAACCTGCTAAGCAAAACCCCATACTTGGGTAAATTCATCTCCATTCTGCCCTGTACCTGCAAAGGGAGCTGAATATATCTGGAGAAAAACTCGCAACCATTCTGACTGGTCTTGAAGCCTCAGTGGGCTGTTGGCAACCCCCAAATCATGACTGTTCCCGATAAGTCCTCTTTCTCAGCCCATTGTCTCAAAATTTTTTCTTCCCTTTCAAACCTCCTCCCATATCTCCTCACTCCCTCTTTCAGCTGCTGATCTTGCTTTTTCACCAAAATTAGAAGCAGAAAAGAATTCCCATATCCTTCCATGATCAAATCTATCAATGCACATGAGTATGTATCTGATTCTTTGCTTTTCCTTCTTTTTTTTTTGAGATGGAGTTTCATTCTTGTTCCCCAGGCTAGAGTGCAATGGCAGGATCTCGGCTCACTGCAACCTCCACCTCCCGAGTTCAAGCGATTCTCCTGCCTCAACCTCCCGAGTAGCTGGGATTACAGGCGCCTGCCATAATGCCTGGCTAACTTTTTTGTATTTTTAGTAGAGGTGGGTTTTCACCATGTTGGCCAGGCTGGTCTCGAACTCCTGACCTCAGGTGATCCACCTGCCTCAGCCTCCCAAAGTGCTGGGATTACAGGCATGAGCCATCGCGCCTGGCCTCCTCTTCTTATATAAAATGTCCATGCCCCTGACTAAGATTATCTTTTCGTTCGTGGATCAACTTGAGGGACATTGATCCTGTAATTAACCCCTCCTTTCTACTCAAAGCTCTTTAGATTATCCAGTTATCCCATATCTATTCTTCACTGCCATCTCCTTGGTGTGCTCTTGTCTTTGTGCATTTGCCTAACTCCTCATGCCTCAAGATTCTGTTCTAATTTCCCTTCCACTTGCAGGTTCCCCTAACACACTCAGATCTCAGAAATTTTCTTTTCCCACAGCCCCACCCGTCCAAAGAGCTAGGTTCCCACAGGTTCACAACCAAGGAATAAAAAAGACAAGTCCGGCCAGGCGCGGTGGCTCACGCCTGTAATCCTAGCACTTTGGAAGCCTGAGGCAGGCTGATCACTTGAGGTCAGAAGCTCAAGACCAGCCTGGCCACCATGGTGAAAACCCTTATCTACTAAAAATACAAAAAAATTAGCCAGGGCTGGGCACGATGGCTCACGCCTGTAATCCCAGTACTTTGGGAGGCCGAGGTGGGTGGATCACCCGAGGTCAGGAGTTTGAGACCGTCCTGACCAACATGGAGAAACCCTGTCTCTACTAAAAATACAAAAATTTGCTGGGCATGGATGGCCGGGTGCAGTGGCTCACGTCTGTAATCCCAGCACTTTGGGAGGCCGAGGTGGGCGGATCACGAGGTCAGGAGATCGAGACCATCCTGGCTAACATGGTGAAACCTCATCTCTACTAAAAATACAAAAAATTAACTGGGTGTGGTGGTGGGCGCCTGTAGTCCCAGCTACTCGGGAGGCTGAGGCAGGAGAATGGCTGGAACCCGGAAGGCGGAGCTTGCAGTGAGCCGAGATCGCGCCATTGCACTCCAGCCTGGGCGATAGAGCGAGACTCTGTCTCAAAAGGAAAAAAAAAAAAAGATTAGCTGGGCGTGGTGGCGCATGCCTGTAATCACAGCTACTTGGGAGGCTAAGGCAGGAGAATCACTTGAACCTGGGAGGCGGAGGTTGCAGTGAGTGGAGATCTCGCCATTGCTCTCCAGCCTGGGCAACAAGAGAGAAACTCTGTCTCAAACAAACAAACAAACAAACAAAAACAACAGCAACAAAAATTAGCTGGGCGTGGTGGCAGGCGCCTGAAATCCCAGCTACTCGGGAGGCTGAGGCAGGGGAATTGCTTGAACCCGGGAGATGGAGGTTGCAGTGAGCCGAGATTGCCCTACTGCATTCCAGCCTGGGCGACAGAGCGAGACTCCGTCTCAAAAAAAAAAAAAAAAAAAAAAAAGGAAAAAAAAGACAAGCCCTTGCAAAACCAGGTCCAAACTAGCAAGATGGGGAGGCCACCAAAGTGTGGACCTAAGGGGTCCCAGCTACAGTAGCTGTGCTGGATGACGCTCCTGTGCTTGCAGGGGGCACTTACATGTGCCTACATTATATAATCTATCATCCTGTGTGCTGAGTTCTATCTACAGCTAGACTGGGAACTAAGGGCAGAAACTGTGCCTTATTAATCTTTGTAACCCAGCAGAGTGCTTTATGAGTGTACTGGTTGAATGAGTAAGAAGGAGGATGTCTTGGGCTTGTATGTATAATATTCCTAGGAGTTTGGGGTATAGCTGCACAGCTTACTGGAACGAAGGATGACTAACCAGGTAAGGATGCAGACTCTCTCTCCTACCATACTGGCAAAGTTAAAAGTAAGCCACAGAAAAAAAATCATTTGGGAAACTCACTCAGAGACAGACCAACTAATCGTT
This sequence comes from Homo sapiens, assembly GCF_000001405.40. NCBI lineage: Eukaryota > Metazoa > Chordata > Mammalia > Primates > Hominidae > Homo > Homo sapiens. Next base: position 12,067,645 of record NC_000010.11, read on the forward strand.
CATGTCCAGTTTCTTTTGACTCTTATCCCTTTCTTCCCTGCTCCCTTTACCCTATTTCCTTCTTTCTCTCTTAATGTTTTTTGTTTGTTTGTGAGACAGAGTCTCGCTCTGTCGCCCAGGCTGGAGTGCAGTGGGCACGATCTTGGCTCACTGCAACCTCTGCCTCCAGGGTTTAAGCGATTCTTCTGCCTCAGCCTCCCGAGTAGCTGGGACTACAGGCACCCGCCACCACACTCGGCTAATTTTTGTATTTTTAGTAGAGACGGGGTTTCACCATAGTAGCCATGATGGTCTCGAACTCCTGACTTCGTGATCCGCCCTCCTTGGCCTCCCAGAGGGCCTCCCAGAGTGTTGGGATTACAGGCATGAGCCACTGCAGCCTGTTTTGTTTTTTTTTTTTTGTTCGTTTGTTTGTTTGTTTTTGTTCTGTTTTTTTTGAGACGGAGTTTCGCTCTTGTTGCCCAGGCTGGAGTGCAATGGCGCCATCTCAACTCACCGCAACCTCCACCTCCCGGGTTCCAGCGATTTTCCTGTCTCAGCCTCCCGAGTAGCTGGGACCACAGGCACCCACCACTACGCCTGGCTAATTTTGTATTTTTAGTAGAGACGAGGTTTCTCCACGTTGGTAAGACTGGTCTCGAACCCCCGACCTCAGGTGATCCGCCCGCCTCGGCCTCCCAAAGTGCTGGGATTACAGGCGTGAACCACCGCGCCCGACCTAATTTTTGTATTTTTAGTAGAGATGGGTTTTCGCCATGTTGGACAGGTTGGTCTCAAACTCCTGACCTCAGATGATCCTCCCGCTGTGGCCCCCCAAAGTGTTAGGATTACAGGCGTGAGCCACCGCGCCCGGCCTCTGTTAATGTTTCTTAAGAAAACAAAAAAATTAGGGGTATTGATTTTGTAGCTGCGCTAAGTAACCTTTGCTTTTTGCGTCCCTTGGTCTCAGTCCTAGCCATTTCCTATCCACCCTGTGGCTAATTTGTCCTTTCTGTAACAGACACCCTAGACTGTGTCTATGCGGTTGGGCAGAGGCGTGATGGGTAAACACTCCTGGCGGGAGACTACAGGCGCTGCAGCTACATCCTGTTTCGTACTGGGAGCAGGTGCCGCCCCGCGGAACACTTACTTGCCCCGCCCTGCGGTGGAGCAGGGCGGTCTCAGCCGCCGGAACCGCCCTGGAAGCCCGCCCCAATCCTGGGCGTCGCTTCGCTGTGAGTGCCGCTGCCACGGATTGGCTTCCAGGGTCCGGCCCGTCGGCCAATCAGGCGCGGGGGCGTTGTCTGGGGGCGGGGCTCCGGCCGCCTCTGACGAGTCCCGGATTTACCAGGGCCGGTGGGATCCCCTCGGGCTCCCGCCTTAGCATGCTGGCCGGGACATCTGGTGAACATGGCCTCTGCTACTGCGGCAGCAGCACGACGGGGCCTCGGCCGGGCTCTCCCTCTCTTCTGGCGTGGCTACCAGACCGAGCGGGGCGTTTACGGCTACCGGCCGAGGAAGCCCGAGAGCCGCGAGCCCCAGGGCGCCCTGGAGCGCCCCCCAGGTCGGGGATGGGGCCCGGGCGGTGGGAGCGGGGGCTGGGACGCAGAAGCCTCCCCTGGCCGATTTGCGGTGGGGTGTCGGGGTCGGGGAACCGGCTGCCGGCCTGAACGCGCGGCCGGTGGGGAGGAGGGGGAGGTGAGGGGAGCAGAGGGTAGGTGTGGGTGCTCAGTGTTGGGGTCATCCCCCGTCCATCCTCTGTAACTGAGGATCTTTGAGGTCCACGCTTGGGTGGTCTTCCCATCTTGCTGGTCCGGACCTGGTTTCGGAAGGGCTTTTCTTTCCTTTGTTGGAAACGTGTGAGAAACTCTTTTTTTCTTTCTCTTTTTGTTTCCTTTTTTTTTTTTTTTTTTTTTTGAGACGGAGTCTCGCTCTGTGGCCCAGGCTGGAGTGCAGTGCTGCGACCACAGCTCCCTGCAGCCTCGAACTCCTGGGCTCAGGCTATCCTTCCACCTCAGCGTCCCGAGTAGCTGGGGACACAGAGGGATGACCACGCCCAGCTTTTTTTTTTTTTTTTTTTTTTTTTTCATTTTTAGTAGAGATGGGGTCCCACCATGTTGCCCAGGCTGGTCTTGAACTCTTGAGCTCAAGCTGATCCTGCAGCCTCGGCCTCCCAATGTGTTGGGATTACAGGCTGAGCCACTGCACCCAGCCTAGAAAACCAGCTCTTTAATGAGGCGGAGCTGTGGGAGAAGTAAAGTTTTAAGGTCTCCCAAGGATACATTTCCAGGACCATCTCTGAGGCTTCTTTTATGTGAGCAGGTGGGGGGGTCCAAGACTGCATTGCTTGGGAGAAGTGGGCAGTTAGTTCCAGTCTTGGAAGACAGCATGATATTTATTATGTATTTGTCTCCTTGTAGCTAGTCTGTTACTTTAATTTCAGAGTTTAACTCTTAACTCTGCTGAATTTGGAACTATGTGCTGGTGGGGTTTCTTTCTTTTCCTTTTAGCCACTCTATTGACACCTTGATATGTGCTGGTGGTTTTAATGAATTAACAGTCATGAATATCAGCTTTTGGAACTTCTGTTGCATGCTCATTTGCGAGACTAATTTTGAGTATTTGGTTTACGCTCCAAAATTATTGTATCATTATTTATCCTCACGGAGTAGAAGATAAGTACAGATTGCTTATTAGAGGAAAATCATTTGGCATCTTTGATCTGATCATTAGATTAATGTTGAAGATCCCCTTCGGCATCTGGGCACCTGACCTTGGAATGTTCCATCAATCACACACTAGAACTTCAATATTTTGCTCTTCACTTCGGAGGGCATTTAAAATAAACCTCATATCTCTGTCTCTCTCTCTTTTTTTAATCCTAAAATGGAGTCTGGCTTTGTCGCCCAGGCTGGAGTGCAGTGGCACGATCTTGGCTCACTGCAACCTCTGTCTTCTGGGTTCAAGCGATTGTCCTGCCCCAGTGTTCCGAGTAGCTGGGATTACAGGCACCTGCCACCATGCCCAGCTAATTTTTGTATTTTTAGTAGAGATGGGGTTTCACCATGTTGGCCAGGCTGGTCTTGAACTCCCGACCTGAAGTGATCCACTGGCCTTGGCCTCCTAAAGTGCTGGGATTACAGGCATGAGCCACCGTGCCTGGCCAAGAGGGAACCTCCTTTTTGCAGAGCCGAATTCCCCTTCCTGTCTACTTGCTCATTAGGGAGCTCCAACTTGACCTCATCTTTCTTCTTGGGCCTTCCTGAAAGTGACAAGATACAATGAACATACGCTCCTGAGCTACAGGCTTCAAGGGCATGTAGTCTGCCTCAGTCCTGTCCTACAGGACAAAAACCAAATGTTTTGTCCTGTAGCATAACACTGCCCATCAGCTTTCTAGGTGGAAATACCTGTGTCCTTGGTACCCATTGCCTGGCTGCTAATCCAATGCCATATATATTTTTAGGCTCTGTTAGGGCAGCAACCCACCTCTGGTACCAAATTCTGTATTAGATTGGAAGAGTTCAGGTGCTGTGATATACAAAGAGAAGGGATATCTTCTTTCCTTCCCCTTACGGTCATGACCCAGAAGTTGCATACATTGCTGCTACGTTCCCATTGTCCAAAACTTAGTCACATGGCCACCAGGTTATGGGGAAGGCTGGGAGGTGGCTCTTTGTTCTGGGTGGCCATATACTGGGCTCTCTATTACTATCAAAGAGAGGGTTCAGAATGGAAGTTAGGAATCGTAGCAGTCTCTGCCACAGAGGTATAGTAATCTGAGATGAGCAATCCACCTTTATCTTTTTCACCTCATATTTCACATCAAATCTTTTTAGTTTTTATTTTTTAAATTTTATTTATTAGGCCGGGCGCGGTGGCTCATGCCTGTAATCCCTGCACTTTGGGAGGCCGAGGTGGGCGGATCACCAGGTCAGGAGTTCAAAACTAGCCTGGCCAACATGGTGAAACCTCGTCTCTAGCAAAAATACAAAAATTAGCTGGGTGTGGTGCAGACGTGGGGCCAGGCACAGTGACTCACGCCTGTAATCCCCGCACTTTGGGAGGCCGAGACAGACAGATCACTTGAGACAGGGTCTTGCCATGTTGCCCAGGCTGGTCTCGAACTCCTGTCCTCAGGTGAAATGCTTGCCTCGGCCCCCTAAAGTGTTGGGATTATAGGCGCGAGCCACCGTGTCCAGCCCCAAATAATTTATACTTCCTAAGGAATGAAAAGAGGGTTCTATATACGCAATTTATTTGTGACATATAGTACATTTGCATTTTGTATGTGCAAACGTAACATTAATTATCAAGTATCTTTATATGTTAGGCAACATATTAAACTATTACCGTGTTTTATTTTTATTTTTTGAGATGAGATCTTTCTATGTCACCTAGTCTGGAGTGCAGTGGTGCAGTCACAGCTCACTTCAGCGTGCGCCGGGTTCACTGGCCTTCTTTCTTCATATGTTTATCTTGGCTAAAATAAATGTCTACATAGGATGACCACATCATTCACTAAGACTTCCCTTGTATTAAGGCTTTAAAGAGATATTGAGCCTGGGTGTGGTGGCTCATGCCTGTAATCCCAGCACTTTGGGAGGCCGAGCTGGGAAGATCACTTGAGGCCAGAAGTTCCAGGCCAGCCTGGCTGACATGGTGAAACCCCATCTCTACTAAAAATACAAAAATTGACCTGGTGGTGTGTGCCTATAATACCGGTTACTCGGGAGGCTGAGTCAGGAGAATCACTTGAACCTGGGAGGCTGAGGTTGCAATGAGCTGAGATCAAGCCACTGCACTCCAGCCTGGGTGATAGAGCAAGACTCTGTCTCAATAAATAAATAAATAAATAAATAAATAAATAAATAAATAAATACAAATAAATAATTAAATAGATATTGAATTTGCCTCTAGTAACCTTTTGGATGGCAGTGGTTTCACTAGTTACAATTTGACCCATGATGAGTGTTCTTTGTAACTAGGTATTTGTAACAGCTTGTACTTTCACCTCTGTAAACCTTGATTTCCAAGGAAACTTGAATTTATTTATCAACAATGCCAATTTAAAATGGAGGTGGGTTTAGGAGTAGTGATTCATGGGTGTTCTTCCTTTTTTTTTTTTTTGAGATGGAGTTTCGCTCTTGTTGCCGAGGCTGGAGTGCAATGGCACGATCTCAGCTCACCACAACCTCTGCCTCCTGGGTTCAAGTGATTCTCCTGCCTCAGCCTCCTGAGTAGCTAGGACTACAGGCATGTACCACCACACCTGGCTAATTTTGTATTTTTAGTAGAGACAGGGTTTCTCTGTGTTGGTCAGGCTGGTCTCGAACTCCCGACCTCAGGTGATCCACCCACCTCGGCCTCCCAAAGTGCTGGGATTACAGGCATGAGCCACCGTGCCTGACCTGTTTATTTGTTTTTTTGAGACACAGTCACTCCGTGGCCCAGGCTGGAGTGCAGTGGGGTGATTTTGGCTCACTGCAACCTATTCCTCCTGGGTTCAAGTGATTCTCCTGCCTCAGTCTCCTGATTAGCTGAGATTACAGGCATATGCCACCCCGCCCAGCTAATTTTTATATTTTTAGTAGAGACGTGGTTTCACCATATTGGCCAGGGTGGTATCGAACTCCTGACCTCAAGTGACCCAACAACCTCTGCCTCCCAAAGTTCTGGGATTATAGGCATGAGCCACTGCACCCAGTCCATGAAAATATTAGCTCTTTTACTTTTTTTTTTGGACAGGGTCTTGCTCTGTCACCCAGGCAGGAGTGCAGTGGCATGATCTCAGCTCACTGCAACCTCTACCTCCCGGGTTTAAGAGATTCTCCTGCCTCAGCCTCTTGAGTAGCTGGGACTACAGGTGCTCACCACCATGCCTGGCTAATTTTTGTATTTTTAGTAGAAACAGGGTTTCACATGTTGGCCAGGCTAGTCTTGAACTCCGGAGCTCAAGCCATCTGCCCTCAACCAGGCTTTTCTGAAGGCTGCAGTCTCTGGCTAGCTTTTTTCTCATAAGCTATCTCTCAATTCCGAGTTTCAAAATCTGGAAAAGCTCAGTCTGGCCCAGCTTGACTCAGCCTCTCCAGCAGCAAGGCAGACTGGAGTAATGCGTGCATCCCCACCAGGCCCCACAGCTTGGCATGGGAGGGTGCAAAGTGAGGGAGAAGAAGCTGCTTCAGCTCTTGTACTCTAAGTTTGAGGGCTCTGAAAAGCTTTTATCATGAAGCATGACTCTTGATCTCAGGACTTCATTCAAATAATAACAAATATTTCTTGAGCGTCTACCATGTGTTAGTCTTCTGAGCCAGAAGCATGCCTCTGATATTCTCCTTTATTTTTAAGAGGAGTGCAGGCGTGTATCTGCTGTTGTTTTCTCTATTCTCTCTGGCTTCGTTACGGACTTAAACATCAAATCTAATTCCTGTGACCTTTTGCAGATATTATGAACAGTAAACTGTTTGGGCGGTATTACGCCTAACGTAAAGGTATTCATTTTTCTCTTACAGTAATTCTTTCATTTCTGCAGTAATAGAAAGTTTTGCTTTTTGTTTTGTTTTGTTTTGTTTTGTTTTCTTTGAGACACTCTGTGTCGCCCAGACTGAGTGCAGTGGCACAATTACAGCTTACCATAGCCTCAAACTCCTGGGCTCAAGTGATCCTGCCACCTCAGTCTCCTCAGTAGCTGAGATCACAGGCACGTGCCACCACATCCAGCTAATTTTTGTATTTTTTTGTTTTGTTTTTGAGACGGAGTCTTGCTCTGTCGCCCAGGCTGGAGTGCAGTGGCACGATCTCTGCTCACTGCAAACTCTGCCTCCTGGGTTCACGCCATTCTCCTGCTTCAGCCTCCCATGTAGCCAAGACTACAGGTGCCCGCCACCATGCCCGGCTAATTTTTTGTTTTTTTTTTAGTAGAGATGGGGTTTCACCGTGTTAGCCAGGATGGTTTCGATCTCTTGACCTCATGATCCACCCTCCTCGGCCTCCCAAAGTGCTGGGATTAGAGGCGTGAGCTACCGCGGGTCTTGCTATGTTGCCCCAGGCTGGAATGCAGTGGCCAAAATCTCCACTGCACTCCAGCCTGGGCCACGGAGTGACTATGTCTCAAAAAAACAAATAAACAGGTCAGGCCTGGTGGCTCATGCCTGTCATCCCAGCACTTTGGGAGGCAGAGGTGGTATAAGAACAATAGCAAACATACAGGGCAATCCCCATTCCCATTGCAAACCAGCGGCCATATTGAAAACGTCCCCTTAGAGGCCGAAGCCAGTGGGTTACTTGAGGTGAGGAGTTCAAGACCAGTCTGGCCAACATGGTGAAATCCCATCTCTACTAAAAATACAAAAATTAGCCGGGTGTGGTCGCATGTGCCTGTGGAGGCTGAGGCAGGAGAATCGCTGGAACCTGGGAAGTAGACATTGCAGTGAGCCGAGATGGTGCCACTGTACTCCGGCCTGTGTGACACAGCAAGACTTTGTCTCAAAAAAAGAAAAAAGAAAACATCCCCTTAGAGAAGAACCTATGTCAATGCATAGAGATCACTGCTTCTGTTTCTTTTTCTTTTTTTTGAGACGGAGTCTCGCTCTGTCACCCAGGCTGGAGTGCAGTGACACAATCTCAGCTCACTGCAGCCTCCGCCTTCTGGGTGCAAGTGATTATCCTGCCTCAGCCTCCAAGTAGCTGGGGTTGCAGGTGCTTCTCGCCATGCCCGGCTAATTTCTGTGGGGTTTTTTTTGGTTTTGGTTTTGTTTTTCTGAGATGGAGTCTTGCTTATGATTTTTTTTGTATTTTTAGTAGAGATGGGGTTTCAGCGTGTTAGCCAGGATGGTCTCGATCTCCTGACCTTGTGATCCGTCCGCCTCGGTCTACCAAAGTGCTGGGATTACAGGCATGAGCCACTGCGCCCATCCAATTTTTGTATTTTTTGTAGAGACAGGGTCTCACTCTGTTGCCCAGGCTGGTCTCAAACCCTTGACCTCAAGAGGTCCTCCTGCCCCAGCCTCCCAAAGTGATTACAGGTGTGAGCCACAATGGCCATCCAGTAATAGGAAGTATTTTATGAATAATTCTATTGCTGTGCTCTCATTCTTTTAAATTTTATTTTTATTTATTTTTCTATCCTTCCAGGGAAAAAGAATTAAATCTTTTAATTTCATTCTTTATTATAAAGGTAATACAGTTGAAGTACGTTTTATCTAGAGCATTTGAAATTGGAACTTGATCAGTTAATTCCATTTATTTTTATTTTACTTCTTTTTTTTACTTCTTTTGTTTTTTCTTTTAAAACAATTTTGACAGAGCGAGACTCTGTCTCAAAAAAAAAAAAGGAAAAAGAAAATAAAGCAATCTGAATGCAAAATCTCTAGATTTTTCTGATTTCTTCCCCTAATTTTACTTTTTCCCACAGCAACAGTCTTAGGGACAAATAGAACTGATTCTTATAAGCACAAAGTCAACTGATGAGAGCAGTGCTGCATATGCTAGAGAGAAGCCACAAACCAAAGCTTTTAGAGTGAGTGCATCAGGCAGCAAGTCCGCTAAATGGCTGCATTCGAAAGAGCTTTATTGCCGAGTGCGGTGGCTCACGCCTGTAATCCCAGCACTTTGGGAGGCCGCGGTGGGCGGATCACGAGGTCAGGAGATACAGACTATCCTGGCTAACACGGTGAAACCCCGTCTCTACTAAAATACAAAAAATTAGCTGGATGTGGTGGCACAGGCCTGTAGTCCCAGCTACTTGGGAGGCTGAGGCAGGAGAATCGCTTGAACCCAGGAGGCAGAGGTTGCAGTGAGCCGAGATGGTGCCACTGCACTCCAGCCTTGGCAACAGAGCGAGACTCTGTCTCAAAAAAAAAGAGCTTTATTGTACATGTTCACTGTGGAAAACTGTGAGAATACAGTAAGCAAAAAATAGCAAATCTGCCTGGGTGTGATGACGTGCACCTGTAATCCCAGCTACTTGGGAGGCTGAGGCAGGAGGATCTCTCGAGCCCAGGAGTATGAGTCCAGCCTGGGTAATATAGCCAGACCCTGTTTCTTTTTTTCTCGGGACGGAGTTTTGCTGTGTCGCCCAGGCTGGAGCGCGGTGACGCGATCTCAGCTCACTGCAAGCTCCGCCTCCCGGGTTTACGCCATTCTCCTACCTCAGCCTCCCGAGTAGCTGGGACTACAGGTGCCCGCCACCACGCCCGGCTAATTTTTTGTATTTTTAGTAGAGACGGTTTCACCGTGTTAGCCAAGATAGTCTCGATCTCCTGACCTTGTGATCCTCCTGCCTCCGCCTCCCAAAGTGCTAGGATTACAGACGTGAGCCACCAAGCCCAGCCAGCCAGACCCTGTTTCTGATAAAAAAAAAAAAAAAAAAAAGGAAGAAAAAAGAACAAGTCGGCAATTTCTACATAGGATTATCACTTAAATTTTTGATCAGTTTCTTTTGTTTATGAAAAATATATGTGTGCATATATATAAGTATATATAATTACATATACTAATACATATACTATAAGATGAAATATATATTATAAACTACTCATATGTACATACACAGTGTAACAATGTAGGTGCATGCTTTATATGTTGTGGTCATTCATTAAGTGTTTTTTGTTTTTTTTTTTTGAGATGGAGTTTCATGCTTGTCACCCAGGCTGGAGTGCAATGGCACAACCTCGGATCACTGCAACCTCTGCCTCCTGGGTTCAAGCAATTCTCCTACTTCATCTTCCTGAGTAGCTGGGATTACAGGTGTCTGCCACCAGGCCTGGCTAATTTCTTGTTTTTAGTAGAGACAGGGTTTCACCATGTGGGCCAGGCTGATCACAAACTCCTGACCTCAGGTGATGAGGTCACCTTGGCCCGCCTTGGCCTCCCAAAGTGCTGGGATTACAGGCATGAGCCACTGTGCCCGGCCATTCATTAAGTCTGGATGCTTTTTCATCAATCATTCTTCTACAATATTATTTTTTAATGGCTGTCGGCAATTTGAGATGAGTTAATGCCATTGCTTGTTCCTCAGAGGATGGGTTTATAAAGAGAGAACTAATGATAGGGAGATGTCAATGAAGAATGAGGAGGGCCTACGTTTGTCTTCAAGATTGGAGGGTGCGGGTGAGGGCCACTGAGTACCTTCACGTCGTACTCATGCTCTCTAGGGACAGCCAAGTTCTGATTAAACCCAGGAGTGTGAGGAACGTTCAGAGAGGTTTGTTTTTCATGAAACAGAGTGCCAGAGGTCTCGGTGGAAGGAGGTGGAGACAGAGAGGGAAGGGGTTGGAGATAGGGTTGGTGGAAGAAGAAACCTGCCCGAAGAAATGGTAGTCTGAGGGAGCATGTGTTGCCAGGGTGAATGGAGGACGTGCCTGACATGAGAGAGGACTTCCTCTTTCTGCTGGTGCCAAACTGCTACATGCCTCATGTTCTTTGTGGCAAGGAGGGTTATTTTGTGCCAACTTCTGTGTCAGTATTCTAGTGTATCATTAGCAGCCTGGCTAGTGAGTACTTAGAAATAGAAGCAGTGGGCCAGTCACAGTGGCTCATGCCTGTAATCTCAGCACTTTGGGAGGCCGAGGCGGGTGGATCACCTGAGGTCAGGAGTTGGAGACCAGCCTGGCCAACATGGTGAAACCTCTTCTCTACTAAAAATACAAAAATTAGCCAGGTGTGGTGGCACGTGCCTGTAATCCCAGCTACTCCGGAGACTGAGATGGGAGAATTGCCTGAACCTGGGAAACAGAGGTTGCAATGAGCCATGATCGTGCCGCTGCACTCCAGCCTGGGCAACAGAGCAAGACTCCACCTCAGAAAAAAAAAACAAAACCAACAAAAACCCCACAAAAATTAGCCGGGCATGGCGGCACGCACCTGCAACCCCAGCTACTTGGAGACTGAGGCAGGACAATCGCTTGCACCCAAAAGGCGGAGGCTGCAGTGAGCTGAGATTGTGTCACTGCACTCCAGCCTGGGTGACAGAGTGAGACTCCGTCTCAAAAAAAAGAAAAAGAAATAGAAGCAGTGATCTCTAGGCATTGACATGGGTTCTTCTCTAAGGGGATGTTTTCTTTTTTCTTTTTTTGAGACAAAGTCTTGCTGTGTCACACAGGCGGGAGTGCAGTGGCACCATCTCGGCTCACTGCAATGTCTACTTCCCAGGTTCCAGCGATTCTCCTGCCTCAGCCTCCACAGGCACGTGCGACCACACCCGACTAATTTTTGTATTTTTAGTAGAGATGGGATTTCACCATGTTGGCCAGACTGGTCTTGAACTCCTGACCTCAAGTGACCCACTGGCCTCGGCCTCTAAGGGGACGTTTTCAATATGGCTGCTGGTTTGCAATGGGAATGGAGATTGCCCTGTATGTTTGCTATTGTTCTTATACCACTAATCATGAGTTGGGGGGAGATCGCTCAGAGAGAAAGTAGACTGAGAAGGTGGCCTTGGGCAGAGCTGGGGAGTACCAATATTTTATGTATTTTATTTTTTAGATATGGGATCTTGCTCTCTCACCCAGGCTAGAGTGCAGTGGTGAGATTTCCAGCTCAGTGCAGCCTCGAACTCCTGGGTTCAAGCTCCTCCCTCAGCCTCTTGGGTAGTTGGGATTATAGGTGTGCACCACCATGCCTGGCTACCAATATTTAGAGTTGGGCAAAGAGAAGTCCCTCAAAAGTGACTGAGGTTGAGTAGCTCTGGAGTTAGAAAGAAAACCGGGTTCCTGCAATGCTGTAGAGCCCAGGGAAGAATATGTTCTTAAAAGGAGAGAGTAGGAGCTGGGTGCGGTGGCTCATGCCTGTAATCCCAGCACTTTGGGAGGCCGAGGCAGGTGGATCACAAGGTCAGGAGATCGAGACCATCCTGGCCAACATAGTGAAACCCCATCTCTACTAAAATACAAAAAATAAGCTGGGTATGGTGGCATGCACCTGTAGTCCCAGCTACTCAGGAGGCTGAGGCAGGGGAATCACTTGAACCCGGGAGGCAGAGATTGCAGTGAGCCGAGATTGCACCACTGCACTCCAGCCTGGCGATAGAGTGAGACTCCATCTCAAGAAAAAAAATAAAAAAATAAAAGGTGAGAGTGGCCCACAGGGACATGCTTTAGACATAGTCTGTCTGGATTTTAGCCACAAATATAAAGGTTTCCTACTTCATATGACACTGATGGAGAACTTGAATAAGGTTCAAAATAGAACCCTTAGCAATTTATAGGACTAACCCCCAGGCTGAAATCAGTTCGTTTCCTGGGATGGTTTGATTCATTTATTTGAGCTATTATGGATCCACCTAACTGGTGTATGAGTGCAAACACATCCTGTGTGTGTTCAATACCTCTCTGTTCTTTCCTCACTAAACCTGCTACAAGTAAAGAGGTGTGCTTTGGCTGGGTGAGGTGGCTCACGCCTGTAATCCCGGCACTTTGGGAGGCCGAGGTGGGTGGATCATGGCATCAGGAGATCGAGACCATCCTGGCTAACATGGTGAAACCCTGTGTCTACTAAAAATAGAAAAAATTAGCTGGGCGTGGTGGCGGGTGCCTGTGGGCGCCTGTAGGCGCCTGTAGTCCCAGCTACTCAGGAGGCTGAAGAAGGAGAATGGCATGAACCCGGGAGGTGGAGCTTGCAGTGAGCCAGGATCACGCCACTGCACTCCAGGCTGGGCAACAGAGCAAGACTCCGTCTCAAAAAAAAAAAAAAAAAAAAGTTGTGCTTTGGCAGTGCATAGAATACAAACCCAAGTGCATGGGTGGCTCTGAAATCATTCCACAGCAACACTTGTTCATAAAATGGACCTTATAAGTTTTAAAATATGTGGGCCAGGTACATTGGTTCACGCCTGTAATCCCAGCACTTCAGGAGGCATGGCAGGCAGATCACGAGGTCAGGAGATCAAGACCATCCTGGCTAACACAGTGAAACCCCATCTCTGCTAAAAATACAAAACATTAGCCGGGCGTGGTGGCGGGAACCTGTAGTCCCAGTTACTCGGGAGGTTGAGGCAGGAGAATGACTTGAACCCGGGAGGCGCAGGTTGCAGTGAGCCAAGATTGAACCACTGCACTCCAGCCTGGGTGACATAGCAAGACAATGTCTGAAAAAAAAAAAAAGAAAAGAAGAAAAAGAAGAAGTTTGAAAATATGCTAACAATTGTCTCTGGGTTCTGAAAATAAAAACACAAATTGTAAAAATGTGTTTCTTGGCCTTCTTTGAGAGGCCAAGATGAGTGAATCGCTTGAGCTCAGGGGTTCAAGACCAACCTGGGCAACATGGTTAAACTCCATCTCAACCAAAAAAAAAAAAATTAGCCAGATGTGGTGGTGCACGCCTGTAGTCTCAGCTACTCGGGAGACTGAGGCAGGAGGATCACTTGAGCCCAGGTTGCAGTGAGCTGTGATGGTTCTTGGCCGGGTGCGGTGGCTCACGCCTGTAATCCCAGCACTTTGGGAGGCCGAGGCGGGCAGATCATGAGGTCAGGAGATTGAGGCCATCCTGCCTAACATGGTGAAACCCCGTCTCTACTAAAAATACAAAAAAATTAGCCAGGCTACTTGGGAGGCTGAGGCAGGAGAATGGCGTGAACCTGGGAGGCAGAGCTTGCAGTGAGCCGAGATTGTGCCACTGCACTCCAGCCTGGGCGACAGAGCAAGACTCCATCTCAAAAAAAAAAAAAAAAAAAAAAGTGATGGTTCTACTGCACTCCAGCCTGGGCAATAGAGCAAGACCCTGTCTCTAAAATAAATAAATAAATAAAAAGTAAGGTGTCTAGGGCTGTAAGAGCTTCTTTGAAAATCTGATTTTTGTGATTTGTAGTCATCTCCTAAACTGTTTGCATTTTTAAATTTTCCCCTGATTTAGTTGATCATGGCCTTGCCAGGTTGGTGACAGTATATTGTGAGCATGGTCATAAAGCTGCCAAAATCAACCCCCTCTTCACCGGACAAGCCCTGCTGGAGAATGTGCCTGAAATCCAAGCCCTGGTGCAGACACTGCAGGGACCCTTCCACACGGCAGGTATGGCTTCTGCACAGCAGGCGGGAGCTCGGAGCTGCACACCAGGCCAGGCTCCTGCCTCTGTTCTTGAAGAAGCAGCATCCCCACTGGAGCTGAGGCTCCCGCAGGTGTGAGGAGACCCGAGGGGCATGTTGAAGTACGGTCCGGGAGGAGCATTCTTGGGATTCTAGAAGTTCTGAGGAGGCCTGTTTTCTCAAGGTTCAAAAACATTTAATTGGCTGGGCACAATGGCTGACACCCATAATCCCAGCACTTTGGGAGCCCGAGGTGGGAGAGTCATTTGAGCCCAGGAGTTTGAGACCAACCTGGGCAACATAGTGAGACTGTCTCTACAAAAAAAAAAAAAAAAAATAACTGGGCATGGTGGTGCACGCCTATAGTTCCAGGCACTCTGGAGGTAGAGATGGGAGGATTGCTTGAACCTGGGAGGTCAAGGCTGCAGTGAGCCTTGATCGTGCCACTGCACTCCAGCCTGGGCAACAGAGTGAGACCCTGTCTGAAAAAACAAACAAACAAAAAACCTTGAACTCTAAAGTGCCATATGCTTAGCATATGTCAATTTATTCTCAAAATCACTCCCAAAAGTAGTTATTGTCCTCTTTATTTTGTAGATGGAGAAACAAAGAGGACTTATATGACTCATAGCTGCTCAGTGGCAGAGGTGGGGTGAAATCCAGGGCTACTTCCATTCCAAAGCTGATACCCGCCTCATTCTGTTTTCTTTCCCAGCCTGGGAACTTAGAAAAAGTTGGGCCTGCATCATCAGTCATGATTTCAGGGTCCTACCTCATGTTACTTTTTGAAGTTAATCTTGCAAATATCAAATTCTGATTGTGTGCATCAGTGAGTCATGTTTCAGTCATCTAATGCCGTGTAATAAACTACCCCAAGACGTAATGGCATTTAAACCCTCAATGATCATTTTAGTGTCTCTTAGGGTTCGGGGGGTTACCTGGGCTTTGCAAGGTGGTAGTTTTCTCTCTTTTTTCTTTTTTTTTTTTGAGACGGGCCTCCAAAGGCCCTTTTCTTGAGCCTCTGCAGAAAGATTTGATTTCTCAGCACCTCATAAAAGCAAACACGTTAATGTGGAAAACATAAAGCGACATGATTAATGGCTCAGTTGGAATATAGTGGTGATGCATCTTAACTTCCTCAAAAGACCAATACTTTAAATCTTTTTATACAAAAAAGAAATACAATGAACTTTGTTGTAAGAAACCATGAGTTGGCCGGGTGCGGTGGCTCATGCTGGTAATCCCAGCATTTTGGGAGGCCGAGGCGGGCAGATCACGAGGTCAGGAGATTGAGACCATCCTGGCTAACACAGTGAAACCCCGTCTCTACTAAAAAAAATAACAAAAAAATTAGCTGAGTGTGGTAGCAGGCACCTGTAGTCCCAGCTACTCGGGAGGCTGAGGCAAAAAAAAGGAGCATCTAATAGCAAGGCGTGAAGCCGGGAAGCGGAGCTTGCAGTGAGCCAAGATCGTGCCACTGCACTCCAGCCTGGGCGACAGAGCGAGACTCCGTCTCAAAAAAAAAAAAAGAAACCATAGGCCAGAGGTGTCCAATCTTTTGGCTTCCCTGGGCCACATTGGAATTAGAATTGTCTTGGGCCATACATAAAATACACTAACACTAATCATAGCTAATGAGCTGCAAAAAAAAATCACAAAGAAAATCTCACAATGTTTTAAGAAAGTTTATTCATTTGTGTTGGGCCACATTCAAAGCTGTCCTGGGCCACATTCAAAGCTGTCCTGGGCCACATGCAGCCTGTGGGCTGTGGGTTGGACAAGCTTGCTAAGCAATATAAAGTAAAGGTTGGGGCCGGGTGTGGTGGCTTATGCCTGTAATCTCAGCACTTGGAGAGGCCGAGGCAAGAGGATCACCTGAGGACAGGAGTTCGAGACCAGCCTGGCCAAGATGGTGAAACCCCATCTATACTAAAAATAAAAAATTAGCCAGACGTGGTGGTGTGCACGTGTAGTCCCAGCTACTCGGGAGGCTGAGGCAGGAGAATCACTTGAACCTGGGAGGCAGAGGTTGCAGTGAGCCAAGATCGTGCCACTGCACTCCAGCCTGGGCAACAAGAGCAAAAACTCCATCACACACACACATACAAAAGAAATTACTGTAGAAACAAAACTTGGCATAAAGCAGCAGTAGGCTCTGTCCTTGTGAAGGAAGTGGGGGCTTTCCCCCTTCTAGTTTTACTGCTTCATGACCTTTGACCATATTTTTAGTTTTTTCTTTAGAAAAAAATCGAGATAAGCATTAATAATAACCCAAGTTATTTATTTATTTATTTATTTTGGGACAGAGCCTTGCTCTGTCGCCCAGGCTGGAGTGCAGTGGTGTGATCTCGGCTCACTGCAACCTCTGCCTCCCAGGTTCAAGCAATTGTCCTGCCTCAGCCTCTCGAGTAGCTGGGACTACAGGCGCACGCTACCATGCCCGGCTAATTTTTGTAATTTTAGTAGAGACGGAGTTTTACCATATTGGTCAGGCTGGGCTCGAACTCCTGACCTCAGGAGATCCACCCGCCTTGCCTCCCAAAGTGTTGGGATTACAGGCGTGAGCCACGGCACCCGGCCAATAATGACCCAAGTTATTAAGAACAAAGCACTCTGCGTTGAAGTAATTATTTTGGTATGTTCCAGAATTAACTTGCCACATGATTTTTTTTTTTTTAAATTTTTTTTAAATATGAAAATTTATTTTGCATAGGAAACAATAATCTCTGGTAAAAATCATTACTGCATATAACAAAACAATGCCTTCAATTAAAGGGGGAAAGTGAGTTTTTAAACATTGGGGTTAATTTAGAAGAAAATACAGTATATAATAATCTCAACATCATGTTAAGGAACATGATTATTTTTTAAGATGACCCCTTTGATTGTATTTCACAGGATTATTGAACATGGGGAAGGAAGAGGCCTCACTTGAGGAAGTGTTAGTCTATCTCAATCAAATCTACTGTGGGCAGATTTCTATTGAAACCTCCCAACTTCAGAGCCAGGATGAGAAAGACTGGTTTGCCAAGCGGTTTGAGGAACTGCAAAAGGAGACGTTTACCACAGAAGAGCGAAAACATCTGTCGAAACTAATGCTGGAATCTCAGGTAAAAAGGAGCATCTAGGCCGGGCACGGTGGCTCATGCCTGTAATCCCAGCACTTTGGGAGGCCGAGGCGGGCGGATCACCTGAGGTCAGGAGTTCAAGACCAGCCTGACCAACATGGAGAAACCCCATCTCTACTAAAAATACGAAAATTAGCCAGGCATGCTGGTGCATGCCTGTAATCCTAGCTACTCATGAGGCTGAGGCAGCAGAATTGCTTGAACCCAGGAGGCAGAGGTTGCAGTGAGCCGAGATTGCGCCATTGCACTCCACCCTGGGTAACAAGAGTGAAACACCTTCTCAAAAAAAAAGGAGCATTTAATAGCAAGGGCATAGGTCAGCCTCACTGCCTATAAAGATATATAGCCTGGCTGACATAGAGAAACCCCGTCTCTACTAAAAATACAAAAATTAGCCAGGGGTGATGGTGCACACCTATAATCCCAGCTAATCAGGAGGCTGAGGCATGGGAATCCTTGGAACCTGGGAGGTGGAGGCTGCAGTGAG
The DNA here is from genome assembly GCF_000001405.40 of Homo sapiens. NCBI lineage: Eukaryota > Metazoa > Chordata > Mammalia > Primates > Hominidae > Homo > Homo sapiens. Next base: position 12,085,257 of record NC_000010.11, read on the forward strand.
CTGAGATCGCGCCACTGCACTCCAGCCTGGGTGACAGAGCGAGACTCTGTCTCAAAAAAAAAAGATATATAACTACTGAAGAGAGGGAATTGAGCCATTAACTCTGAGCTTAAATCCCTCGTTACTTCAACACAACAGATCATATAACACACACCATTTTATTATTTTATTTTTCCTCAGAGATCCTTGTTCTGAGCATATCACTTTATTCTAAGTAGCAAAATGTTGGTTGCCAAAATATTGACCTATTGGCTCTCCTCAGAGTCAAAATACTTCTCGTGTATGTGTCTACTCACTCTATAAAAGACCTTACTTAAGACTTACTTAAGACCTTACTTCTGACTGGGCACAGTGGCTCGCGCCTGTCATCCCAGCCCTTTGGGAGGCTTAGGTGGGCGTATTGCTTGAGGTCAGGAGTTTGATACCAGCCAGGCCAACATGGTGAAACCCCGTGTCTACTAAAAAAACAAAATACAAAAAATTAGCCTGATGTGGTGGAGCATACCTGTGGTCCCAACTACTTGGGAAGCTGAGGCAGGAGAATCTCTTGAACCCAGGAGGCGGAGGTTGCAGCGAGCCGAGATCACACCACTGCAGTGAGCTAAGATTGCACCACTGTACTCCAGTCTGGGCAACAGAGCAAGACTCTGTCCAAAAAAATAAAAAAACATAGTTCTTAAGGTTTTATTTATTTATTTTATTTTTATTTTTTTGAGATGGAGTCTTGCCCTGTCGCCCAAGTAGCTGGGATTACAGGCACGTGCCACCACACCCAGCTAATTTTTGTATTTTTAGTAGAGACGGGGTTTCATCATGTTGGCCAAGATGGTCTCGATCTCCTGACTTCATGATCCACCCGCCTCGGCCTCCCAAAATGCTAGGATTACAGGCGTGAGCCACCACACCTGGCCTTTTAAACAAAATTTTTTAAAAATTTATTTAAAATTTATTTTTCTTTTGTTTTCTTTTCTTTTTTTTTTTTTTGAGATGGATTCTCCCTGTCGCCCAGGCTGGAGTGCAGTGGTATGATCTCAGCTCACTGTAACCTCTGCCTCCCAGGTTCAAGCCATTCTCCTGCCTCAGCCTCCCAAGTAGCTGGGACTACAGGTGCATGCCATGATGCCTGGCTAATTTTTTGTATTTTTAGTAGAACGGGGTTTCACTGTGTTAGTCAGGATGGTCTCGATCTCCTGACCTCGTGATTCACTCCCATCAGCCTTCCAAAGTGCTGGGATTACAGGCATGAGCCACCGCGCCCAGCCTAAAATGTGTTAGCCAGGATGGTCTCGATCTCCTGACCTCATGATCTGCCCACCTCGGCCTCCCAAAGTGCTGGGATTAAGGCATCAGCCACCGTGACTGGCCTAAAATTTCTTTTAATATGTGAGAAAAAAAAGTCTTTTGGTAACAGGACATACTGTCACCATTCAGGGCTATGTACAGTTGCAGTTCTTGAGACAGTCTTGCTCTGTCACCCAGGTTGGAGTGCAGTGGCACGATCTCGGCTCACTGCAACCTCCGCCTCCTGGACTCAAGCAATTCTCCTGCCTCAGCCTCCTGAGTAGCTGGGATTACAGGTGCACACCACCACACCCGGCTAATTTTTAGATTTTCAGTAGAGACGGGGTTTCACCATGTTGGCCAAGTCTCAAACTCCTGGCCTCAAGTGATCCACCTGCCTTGGCCTCCCGAAGTGCTGGGATTACAGACGTGAACCACCATGCCTGGCCTGGTCTTACTTCTTAAGAACTAAAGATACTTAAGTTCAGAACTTAATCTGAGATGATCAAAAGATGACATGTGGAAGACAGGCTCAGTACAAATGAATGGAACTGAACCTCTGCTGGGGCTGTGACCAGGACTCTGGAATGTCAAGATGGCAAGAAGCCCCTTCCTAATAGTTTGGGTAGTTGGATAGTTTGCAGCCTTGATTCATACCGTAGAGCCCCGTGTGAAAACTGGGGTACTGGGAAGAGGCAGCAGAAATCTAAGGCCTGGATTCCAGTCCAGAAGAACACACATTCTAAGGGGGTTTCCTTGGGGTGAGTTATTCTGCCGCTCAGGTTATTCTCCTCAGCCCCTCCTACTGTCCCGGATCCTAGGAAAACCATCCCGCTGTGTCCGTGTTATGTCTCTCTCCGGGATATGTAGTAAAGTGGCATTGCTGTGGCCACTTGGGGAGTGTGGGGCCATCTCACAACACACACAGACTTATCTGCCTTCCACTGGAGAAGCTGGCTGTCTCCTGGCAGCTCACGTCTGACATGATGTTCTGCAGGAGTTTGACCACTTTCTGGCCACCAAGTTCTCGACAGTGAAGCGATATGGAGGCGAAGGGGCTGAAAGCATGATGGGCTTTTTCCACGAGCTGCTGAAAATGTCGGCCTACAGCGGGATCACTGATGTCATTATTGGGATGCCCCATAGAGGGAGGCTGAATTTATTGACAGGCCTTCTGCAGTTCCCTCCAGAGGTAAGGTTACTCGCTGTGTTTCTCAGTAGCACTATATGATTGATTGTAACAGAATAAAACTGCTGGTTTCATTCTGGTGATAAATGATGGTGATGGTGATGGCCGGGCACTGTGGCTCACACCTGCAATCCCAGCCTGTTGGGAGGATGAGGCAGGAGGATGGCTTGAATCTAGGAGTTTGAGACCACCCTGTGGAACAAAGTGAGACTTTGTCTCTACCAAAAATAAAATAAGTTAGCCAAGCATGGTGGCACGCACCCGTGTTCCCAGCTACTCAGGAGACTGAGGCCAGAGGATCACTTGAGCCCAGGAGTTTGAGGCTGCAGTGAGCTATGATCTCACCACTGCACTCCAGGCTGGGCAACAAAGCAAGATGCTGCCTGAATATAAATAAATTTTTAAAAAGTAAAACTCATGGTGATCATTCATTTTAGGAAGTCAACTAAGGCTGGGCAAGGTGGCTCATACCTGCAATCCCAGCACTTTGGGAGGCTAAGGCAAGAGGAGTGCTTGAGCCCAGGAGTTCAAGACCATGGGTAACCTCGCAAAACTCTGTCCCTACAAAAATAAAAATTAGGTGGCATGGTCTCTACAAACATGAAAATTAGGTGGTGCACCTATGGTTCCAGCTACTTGGGAGGCTGGGATGGGAGGATCTCTTGAGTCCAGGAGATGGAGGCTGCAGTGAGCTGAGACTGTGCCACTGCCCTCCAGCCTGGAAGACAGAGCCAGATCCTGTCTTAAAAAAAAAAAAGAGGAAAGGCAACTAAGCATATGAGCAGTTGGTCCAGGAGGTAGCTTAGACAGTTTAGTTAATTGACAGAGTTGGTATTTGGATTGGTTTTCCATGTATACTTACTTATTTATTTATTGAGACCTAATCTCGCTCTGTCACCCAGGCTGGAGTGCAGTGGCGTGATCTCGGCTCACTGCAACCTCCGCCTCCCAGGTTCAAGTGATTCTTATGCCTCAGCCTCTCTACTAGCTGGGATTACAGGTACCTGCCACCACACCCAACTAATTTTTTGTATTTTTAATAGAGACGGGGTTTCACCATGTTGGCCAGGCTGGTCCCGAACTCCTGACCTCAAGTGATCTTCCCGTCTCAGCCTCCCAAAGTGCTGGAATTACAGGCATAAGCCACCACTCCTGGCTTTAAATTTTCTTTTTTGTTGTATGATTTCAACTCAGCACTTCTTCCCTAGACTCCATTGTGATGAATGCCATTTTTTTCCTTTTGAATGTATCCACAATAGCTGATGTTCCGTAAAATGCGAGGCTTAAGTGAATTTCCAGAGAATTTCTCAGCCACTGGAGACGTCCTGTCTCACCTGACCTCCTCTGTGGACCTGTACTTTGGGGCGCACCATCCCCTCCATGTGACAATGTTGCCCAATCCCTCGCACCTGGAGGCCGTCAACCCCGTGGCCGTGGGCAAAACTCGCGGCAGGCAGCAGTCTCGCCAAGACGGCGATTACTCTCCAGACAACTCAGCCCAGCCGGGGGACAGGGTCATTTGCTTACAGGTACTTGGAGCTTCTGAAATTGAGGCCAGAGGTGGGGAAAACTGGGAAGAATGTGTGGGTTGGGAGGGCTGAAAGCACATGGCAGACATTCATGATGAAACTGAGATGACCTTTTGGAAAAAGATTCTGGGATTGTTTTAAAAACTAACAGGAGATTCATGAGGTTTAGTCTTCAGGCAACTGGCTTTAGCCTGGGGCTTCCACTTCTGTTTTCCTTGCATGGCTTATGAATTAACTTGGGGTTTGGGCTGGCAAACCTGCTCCTTCTTAGAGCACAGATGTCATTATCTCTCTGGAAGTATGGCCTTCTTGGAAACTTTGTGGTTCCCATACATATAACAAGACAAGCGTGAAAAAAAAAAAGACTTTAAGTGTGGTTTTACTTCGTTTCTTGTTTACTTTATTATCTTTTCTTTTTTATGGCTTTTTTTTTGAGACCGAGTCTCACTCTGTCACTCAGGCTGGAGTGCAGTGGCGAAATCTCAGCTCACTGCAACCTCTGCCTCCTGGGTTCAAGTGATTCTCCTGCCTCAGCCTCCCGAGTAGCTGGGACTACAGGCACGTGCCACCACGCCCAGCTAATTTTTGTATTTTTAGTAGAGACAGGGTTTCACCATGTTGGCCAGCCTGGTCTCAAACTCCTGACCTCAAGTGATCCTCCCACCTCAGCCTCCCAAAGTGCTGAGATTACAGGCATGAGCCACTATACCTAGCCTATTTTTTTTTTTTGCTTGTTTATTTGAAAATGAAAGTCTTTGGTATTAAGGCACATAACACAAATTATCAGTGTGGTTCGTTCTTTTTCTACCCTGTCTCCCAGTTTTTGGTAACACAACAAGTATCTTTTAGAGGTTTGGGCTGTGGTCATGTTTCTTCTGTGAGTATTCATTTAAATATGAACCTTTAACTACAGGAGATCATGAAACCTGGATTTCAGAATCAGTCTTCAAATTCCACAGAAATAGATAAATATATAAGGCAATCAAATATTCTATGTTTGTAAATGCCACGTTATCCTATGCATTTTAATTTTTCACAGGCCAGAAACTTGTAGTGAATAAATTGGGAGTAGGCAGAATTGGATTTCATTATGATATGGCCGGCCCTCCCTCCCTTCCTTCCTTCCTTCCTTTTTTCCTTCCTTCCTTCCTTTTTTCCTTCCTTCCTTCCTTTTTCCTTCCTTCCTTCCTTCCTTCCTTCCTTCCTTCCTTCCTTCCTTCCTTCTTCTTTCTCTCTCTTTCTTTCAAGATGGGTTCTCAATCTTTTGTCCAGGCAGGAGTGCAATGGTGCAATCATAGCTCACTGTAGGCTCAAATGCCTAGGCTCAAGCAATCTTCCTGTCTCAGCCTCCCAAGTAGCTGGGCCTACAGGTGCATGCCATCATACCTGGCTGATTTATTTTATTTTATTTTGTGGAGACATGATCTTGCTGGGTTGGCCAAGCTGGTTTCAAATTCCTAGCTTCAAGCAACCCTCCTGCCTTGGCCTCCCAAAGTGTAGATATTACAGGTGTGAACCACTGCACCTGGCCTGATAGGGTGTTTCTAAATAGAAATCTTGAAATCATTAGCCAGACATTCTGTTTACCTTTCACATAATTTATAATACTCTATTTTAATCCTTCATTTTTACCCAGTACATTGAGCTGATCTTAAGATTGTGGTGGCGGGCGCCTGTAGTCCCAGCTACTCGGGAGGCTGAGGCAGGAGAATGGCGTGAACCCCGGAGGCGGAGCTTGCAGTGAGCCGAGATTGCGCCACCGCACTCCCGCCTGGGCAACAGAGCGAGACTCCGTCTCAAAAAAAAACAAAAAAAGATTGACTTCTGAAATAAAAGGTGAAAAGGCCATTTTCTTTAAAATGATGATAAATGAGGCTGGTCGCTGTGGCTCATGCCTGTAATCCCAGCACTTTGGGAGGCCAAGGAGGGTGGATCACCTGAGGTCAGAAGTTTGAGACCAGCCTGACCAACATGGTGAAACCCCGCCTCTACTAAAAATACAAAAAATTAGCCGGGTGTGGTGGTGCATGCCTATAATCCCAGCTACTAGGGAAGCTGAGGCAGGAGAATCACTTGAACCCGGGAGGCAGAGGATGCAGTGAGCTGAGATCGTGCCATTTCACTCCAGCCTGGGCGAAAGAGCAAGACTCTGTCTCAAAAAAAAAAAAAAAAAAAGTTATTCCAACCTGAAAACCTAGATTTCTTAATCCCTTATGTTTCTTTTCTCCCCACCCGCTCCCCTTGCCTCATGATTTAGGTCCATGGTGATGCTTCTTTCTGTGGTCAAGGGATTGTTCCTGAAACATTCACGCTGTCCAATCTCCCACATTTCAGAATTGGTGGGAGTGTGCATTTGATTGTTAATAACCAGCTGGGTTACACCACTCCAGCTGAAAGAGGAAGGTCTTCTTTATACTGCAGTGATATTGGTACGTAACACAGGGAGGAACTGATATTGCTGAAGCCGACATGGAATTCCTAGGGAAACCTCTGGTGCACACAGAACAATGAGCCTCACTGGTTATCCCTCCTTTCATTTAATTAATTAATTAATTAATTAATTTTTTGAGATGGAGTCTTGCTCTGTCACCCAGCCTGTAGTGCAGCAGCACGATCTTGGCTCACTGCAACTTCTGCCTCCCGAGTTCAAGTGATTCTCTTGCCTCAGCCTCCTGATTAGCTGGGACCACATGCGTGCACCACCATGTCTGGCTAATTTTTTTTTTTTTTTTTTTTAGATGGAGTCTTGCTCTGTTGCCCTTTCCAGCTTGTACTCCATGCTGGAGTACGTGATCTCGGCTTACTGCAACCTCCGCCTTTCAGGTTCAAGTGATTCTCATGCCTCAGCCTCCCAAGTAGTTGGGACTACAGGTGTACACCACCACACCTGTCTAATTTTTGTATTTTTAGTAGAGACGGGGTTTCACCATGTTGGCAGGCTGGTCTTGAACTCCTGACCTCTGGTGATCTGCCTGCTTAGGCCTCCCAAAGTGCTGGGATTAAAGGCGTGAGCCACCATGCCCAGCCTATCAGTGTGATTTTTAAATCCAAAGAAATAAGACAAGGATGGAGCCACAGTGTGCCATCTCAAATTTCTTATAACTGGATGGGTGATCTGGTACAAGTCAGAGATCAACACAATGAGTACAACACCAGAGTTGTTATCTCTAGGATATTCAAACTTGGAGTGCCCAGGGGCTTAGTGATAAGGGATGTGTTCAACCACTAAACTTGGTGAAATAGTATAGTTAGAAATAAGATGTGAAGGCTGGGCACAGTGGCTCACGTCTGTAATCCCAGCACTTTGGGAGGCTAAGGCAGGTGGATCATCTGAGCTTGGGAGTTCGAGACCAGCCTGACCAACATAGAGAAACCCCGTCTCTAATAAAAACACAAAATTAGCTGGGCATGGTGGTGCATGCCTGTAATCCCAGCTACTCGGGAGGCTGAGACAGGAGAATCACTTGAACCTGGGAGGCGGAGGTTGCAGTGAGCCAAGATCAGGCCATTGCACTACAGCGTGGGCAACAAGAGCGAAACTCCATCTCAAAGGGCAAAAAAAAGAAATAAGATGTGAAGAATCAAAGTCAGCTTCTTTTTTATCTGTGGAAATTGGTAGGTTTTTTTGTTGTTGTTGTTGTTTTGAGAGTCTTGCTCTGTTACTCAGACTGGAGTGCAGTGGTACAATCATGGCTCACTGCAGCCTTGACATCCCTGGCTCAAGAGATCCTCCCTCCTCAGCCTCCTTAGTAGCTGCGATTTACAGACACATGCCACCATGCACAGCTAATTTTTTTTTTTTTTTGAGATGGAGTTTCGCTCTTGTTGCCCACGCTGCAGTGCAATGGCGCCATCTCGGTTCACCACAACTTGCACCTCCCGGGTTCAAGCAATTCTCCTGCCTCAGCCTCCCGAGTAGCTGGGACTACAGGTGTCCACCACCACACCCAGCTAAATTTTGTGTTTTTAGTAGAGACGGGGTTTCACCATGTTGGTCAGGCTGGTCTCAAACTCCTGACCTCAGGTAATTCACCTGCCTCAGCCTCCCAGAGTGCTGGGATTATAGGCGTGAGCCACTGCACCTGGCCACAGCTAATTTTTAAAATAATTTTTGTAGAGATTGAGTCACTGTGTTGCCCAGGCTGGTCTTGAACCTCTGGTCTTGTGTGATCCCTCTTCAGCCTTCCAAACTGCTGAGATTACAGGCGTGAACCACTGTGCCAGGCTGAAATTGGTCATCTTAAGATAAAGACAGTGCTGTTATTACCCATTCCCAGTTTCACAGTTTACAAGGCTGTTTGATGGTAGCAACTATTCTCCTTTTATACAAACAGCCTGGACTGGATGCCTCTTGGGCTTGTCTATGTGAATCCTTTATGATTAGTCTGATGAAGATTCTTTGGAGCAAATTTATCTTTTTCTAAGGTACATCCTTTAATGACCCTTTTATCTCAGGGAGAAAGAGAGTAATGATAATAACAGTAACAAAATAAATATTAACTACTATGTACCAGGCACTGTTAGGCATTACAATTGTTTGTGCATTCACTCATCGAACCTTTGCAACATCACTAAGAGGTAGGAGCCCCATTCCCGATTTATAGATAAGTAGGTTGAGATTTGTAGCTTTACCGAGGTCACACAATAAGTCCCAGAGTTGGAACTTGCCAGCTGGTCTCCAAAGCTGGGGTTGTTAACCAAACCAATATCTACCTGTGAGGATTGGGCTGTCTTTTGATGCAGGAAGTAGGGCTTAGAGAGGGCCAGTGTCATTCTGGGTTAACTGTCCTGTTTCGGCTTGGTCTTCTGTCCTTCAGGGAAGCTTGTGGGCTGTGCCATCATCCATGTCAATGGAGACAGCCCAGAGGAAGTGGTCCGTGCCACACGACTGGCTTTTGAATACCAACGCCAGTTCCGCAAGGATGTGATTATTGATCTGTTGTGCTACAGGCAGTGGGGCCACAATGAGCTGGATGAGCCATTCTACACCAACCCCATCATGTACAAAATCATCAGGTACAATTATAAACCCTTGTGTGATATGCCCCCTAAAAATTAAAATTACTATTATTATTCTTTTGAGATGGAGTCTTGCTTTGTCACCCAGTCTGGAATGCAGTAGCACGATCTTGGCTCACTGCCATCTCCACCTCCCGGGTTCAAATGATCCTCCTGCCTCAAGTGATCCTCTTGCCTCAACCTCCCGAGTAGCTGGGATTACAGGCGTGTGCCACCGTGCCTGGCTAGTTTTCATACTTTTTAGTAGAGATGGAGTTTTGCCATGTTGGCCAGGCTGATGTCAAACTCCTGACCTCAGGTGATCTGCCTGCCTCGCCCTCCCAAAGTGCTGGGATTACAGGCATGAGCCACCATGCCCAGGCAGGACATGAAACTTTAAGAGCTAAAGCTGACACAGTTCTGGGCTGGAGTGCAGGTGGCACAGTCTTGGCTCACTGCAACCTCTGCCTCCTGGGTTCAAGCAATTGCAATTCTTGTGCCTCAGCTTCCTGAGTAGCTGGGATTACAGGTATGCATCACCACGCCTGGCTAATCTTTGTATTTTTAGTACAGACAGGGGTTTCGCCATGTTGGCTAGGCTGGTCTCAAACTCCCGGTCTCAAGTGATCCACCTGCCTTAGCCTCCCAAAGTGCTAGGATTACAGGCATGAGCCACCGTGCCTGGCCTCCCATACTCTTCACACTTGACATGGTTCCTCATTGAATAGAAAAAGGGCAATAGAAAACTCAGCAGATGGGAAGATTGAAGCAGGGGGAATTAAGCAAACCTCGCCCAAATCTATTTACTGCAGTGTCGGCAGGACCAGAAATAGAACCTCAGTGATTCATTTCTACAAACCATAGCTGCAGACCTGCCTGGCACCTTGGTGAGAGGTAACTCAGAAGATTCTAATGAATGTTCAGAACCATGCTGTCCAAGATGGAAGCCACTAGCCATCAGTGGCTATTGAGTACTTGAAAAGTGGCCAGTCCTGATTAATGTGCTGTAAGGATAATACACACACCATATTTCAAACACTTAGCATGTAAAATATAAACCCAAAATAATATTTTTAAATTTATTAGATATGGAAATGACAATATAATGAGTATATTGACTTAAATAAAATATGTTATTGAAATGCCGGGCATGGTGGCTTATGCCTGTAATCCCAGCACTTTGGGAGGCCAAGGTGGGTGGATCACTTGAGGTCAGGAGTTTGAGACCGGCCTGGCCAACATGGTGAAACCCCATCTCTACTAAAAATAGAAAAATTTGGCCAGGCGCGGTGGCTCACGCCTGTAATCCCAGCACTTTGGGAGGCCGAGGCGGGCGGATCACGAGGTCAGGAGATCGAGACCATCCTGACTAACACGGTGAAACCGCGTCTCTACTAAAAATACAAAAAATTAGCCGGGCGTGGTGGCGGGCGCCTGTAGTCCCAGCTACTCGGGAGGCTGAGGCAGGAGAATGGCGTGAACCCGGGAGGCGGAGCTTGCAGTGAGCCCAGATCGCACCACTGCACTCCAGCCTGGGTGGCATAGCGAGACTCCGTCTCAAAAAAAAAAAAAAAAAAAAAGAAAAGAAAAGAAAAGAAAAAGAAAAATTAGCTGGCGTTGTGGCGCGTGCCTGTAGTCCCAGCTACTCGGGAGGCTGAGGCAACAGAATCGCTTGAACTGGGGAGGCGGAGGTTGCAGTGAGCTGAGATTGTGCCACTGCATTCCAGCCTGGGCGACAGAGCGAGACTCGGTCTCAAAGAAAAAACAAGAAGAAAAGAAATTAATTTCACCTGTTTCTTTTTATCTTTTCTAACGTGACTGCCAGAAAATTTTAAATTACTCATGGCTTGCATTTCATTTCTGTCCCATGGTGCTGATTCAGATGGTTAATGTGACGGAGGGGGAATTTGTTACTTTGGAACTTCCTTTTCTAGATACTAGAAAATAAAATAGATTCCCCTCCTCCAAGTTTATTTCCTTATAGATATAAATTAAAGCAGAGGAATACACGTTTTATGAGCGTTTCTGATCCTTGGTACCAGAAAGAGGACTGCTCTCAGAAGAACTAATTGTGTTCTGTTTAGCTCTGAATTTAGCAGCTGAATGACTCAGTGAACCTCAGGGTTCTATTTTATTTTATTTATTTTTTTGAGACACGGTCTTGCTCTGTCGCCCAGGCTGTAGTGCAGTGGTATGATCACGGCTCACTGTAGCCTCGACTTCCTGGGCTCAAGCGATCCTCCCGCCTCCACCTCCTGAGAACCTGGGACTACAGGCGCTTGCCACTATGCCTGACTAGATGGGGTCTCACAGCGTTACCCAAGCTGGTCTCGCCATCTGCCCGTCTCGGCCTCCCAAAGTTCTGGGATTGCAGGCATGAGCCTCCTCACCTGGCCCCAGGGCGTTAGCTTTAAAATCTATCCTGCTTTCTTCTCTCTTTTATCAGGATTAAATATGATAATATATGTGAATAGACTTTATAGTTGAAAGTATGACATGAATGTAGAGTGACATTTATTGTAACACCCAGGTGTTGATGATTGTAGTTAAAGGATGATAGATGCAACCTGAAAGATTGCAACTTTCAGACTGGAGCAACTTTGGGTTCCATACCTTTTTAGATAAAGGGGGGTGCTGATTGGATAGACAGTGTGGGTCAGTCTTGGAAATAATTGTCAGAATTTACCAAATCATAGAAAAACTCTGTTAATTATTTCTATTTGGATGCAGACAAAAACTTATAAATTTGTTTTCTCTCAGTTGCCTGGAAAAGAGGTTGTTACTATGAGTGCCTTCATTTATTAAATTAATTTATTATATTTAACATTGTTTATTTATTTTGTTTCTGTTTTATAAACTTATTGAGATGAACGTGACATAATATAAAATTGGCTGTCTTAATGCGAACAACTCAGTGGCATTTATTTACCTTCACAAAGTGGTGCAACCATCACTTCTGTCAAGTTCCAAAACATTTTTCCTGAATGCCTTTTTATTTTATTTTTATTTATTTTTAATTTTATTTATTTGGTTTTTGAGACGGAGTTTCACTTTTGTTGCCTAGGCTGGAGTGCAGTGGTGCCATCTCGGCTCACTGCAACCTCTACCACTTAGGTTCAAGCAATTCTCCTGCCTCAGCCTCCTGAGTAGCTGGGATTACAGGCGCCCGCCACCATGCCAAGCTAATTTTTTGTATTTTTAGTAGAGACAGGGTTTCACCACGTTGGCCAGGCTGGTCCCGAACTCCTGACCTCAGGTGATCCACCCACTTTGGCCTCCCAAAATGCTAAGATTGTAGGTGTGAGCCACTGCACCTGTCGAATGCCTTTTTAGAGTGCTGACACTCCACCGCCCTTGACAGTGACTCTCCTTGTCTCTATTAGATTGTTACAGGTCAGACTGATTTTTGTTTCTTCTCTTTCTTGGGCAGAGCTCGAAAGAGCATTCCAGACACATATGCAGAGCACCTCATTGCTGGCGGACTCATGACGCAGGAGGAGGTGTCTGAAATAAAATCCTCCTACTATGCCAAGTTGAATGATCACTTAAATAACATGGCCCACTACAGGCCCCCTGCCCTGAACCTGCAGGCCCACTGGCAGGGCCTGGCTCAGCCAGAAGCGCAAATCACCACCTGGAGTACAGGTGTGCCCCTCGACCTCCTGCGGTTTGTTGGCATGAAGTCTGTAGAGGTGCCAAGAGAGCTGCAGATGCACAGTCACCTGCTGAAGACACATGTTCAGGTGGGCAGCCTCCAAATGGCTGGTTATTGCTTCTCCTTCCTGCTCAGCAAAGGAGCTGACGTTGGTCTGGTGTTTTCAGTTGTCTGATTCATTTGACAAATATTTATTGTGTGTCGTTAGGTTCTAGAAACTGATCCTAGTGTTGTTTTGGTACTGATAGTCAGTTACCTCAGATTTTCTCTTCTTTTCTTTTTCCTCCATGTATTTATTTATTTATGCATGTTCATACATTACATGTACCTGGAATACATGCACACTATAAGAAATACAGAGATACAAGAATGTCTGTTTTTATTTTTCCAACCAGTGAGTAGAAAACACTTTGTTTCAGGTGGCTTAAATAAAAGAAACAAAAGTCAACACACATACCCCAAGGTAGCCCCCTAAACATGCTCATGTTTTACGTATTGTCTTAGGATCACTATAGGATGACAAACCACCCTGGTGGACCTGGGACTTAGGGGTTTTCTGGAATGTGGGACTTTAAGTGCTAAAACAAGGAGAGCAAAGAGTTAAATGTCTTTTTCTTTCTTAAGCTTGGATGAAGGAACTTTGCCCTCTAAATTATTTTATTTTATGTTATTTTTGGATGGAATCTCACTCTGTCACCCAGGCTGGTGTGCAGTGGCGTGATCTCGGCTCACTGCAACCTCCACCTCCCAGGTTCAAACGATTCTCCTGCCTCAGCCTCCTGAGTAGCTGGGATTACAGGCATGTGCCACCATGCCCAGCTAATTTTTGTATTTTTAGTAGAGATGGGTTTTCACCATGTTGGCCAGGTTGGTCTTGAACTCCTGACCTCAATTGATCCATCCACTTTGGCCTCCCAAAGTGCTGGGTTTACAGGTGTGAGCCACCATGCCTAACATGAATTATTTTCAAACACTAACTTGGCCAGGCACGGTGGCTCCTATCTGTAATACCAGTGCTTTGGAAGGCCAAGGTGGAAGGATTGCTTGAGCCTAGAAGTTCAAGACCAGCCTGGGCAACATAGTGGACCTTATCGCTAGTAAAGATTAAAAAATTTGCCTGGCATGGTGGCGCATGCCTGTAGTCTCAGCTCCTCAGGAGGCTGAGGTGGGAGGATTGCTTGAGCCCAGAAGGTCGAGCCTGCAATGAGCTGAGATTGCACCACTGTACTCCAGCCTGGGTGACAGAATAAGATCCTGTTTCTCCAAAAAGAGGAAATTAAAAAAAAAAAACCAACCCACTAACTTTAAGTTTTTATTATAGGTACAGAGACTATTACAACAAACTATTAATATGTACTCATCACTCAGCTTAGGAAATAGGATGTTATAAATACAGTTCCCCACATACCCCTCCTTGATCCATCTCCTCCCACCTCCGCAGAGGTAACCACTAACCTAAGCACGTGTTTGTTTTGCCTGTTTTAAAATTGTATATAGGCCGGGTGTGGTGGCTCACTCCTGTAATCTGAGAACTTTGGGAGGCCAAGCCGGGCAGATTATTTGAGTTCAGGGGTTCAAGACCAGTCTGACCAACATGGCGAAACCCCTTCTCCACTAAAAAGTACAAAAATTAGCTGGGCGTGGTGGTGTGCACCCATAGTCCCAGCTACTTAGGAGGCTGAGGCAGGAGAATCACTTGAACCAGGGAGGCTGAGGTTGCAATCAGCCAAGATCACGCCACTGCACTCTAGCCTGCGTGACAGAGTGAGACTGCCTCAGAAAAAAATAAATAAATAAAAACTGTATATAATTGCTCTCCTTCTCTAATGTATCCTTTTGTACTCTGTTTTTATTCAGCATTGTTTTTGATGCTTAATTTCGTTGCTTTTTTTTTTTTTTTTTTTTTGAGATCAAGTCTTGCTCTGTCGCCCAGGCTGTAGTGTAGTGGAGCCATCTCAGCTCACTGCAACCTCCGCCTCTCAGGTTCCAGTGACTCCCTGCCTCAGCTTCCTGAGTAGCTGGTATCATAGAGACACGCCACCAGGCCTAGCTAATTTTTGTATTTTTAGTAGAGATGGAGTTTCACCATGTTGTCCAGGCTGGTCTTGAACTCCTTACCTCAAGTGATCCACCCGCCTGGGCCTCCCAAAGTGCTGGGATTACAGGCATGAGCCACCATGCCTGGCCTGCATTAAATTTTTTGTACTCATTGTGAAAAAGGAAATGGACTCTTAGACGTTCCTTTTTTTTCTTCCTCTGAATTTTACAGTCCAGAATGGAGAAGATGATGGACGGAATCAAGCTAGACTGGGCCACCGCGGAAGCTCTTGCCTTGGGTTCTTTACTTGCTCAAGGTAAGAATTTTCTTTTTTTTTTCTGTTTTTTTTTTTTTTGAGTCTCACCCTGTCGCCCAGGCTGGAATGCAGTGGTGCGATCTCAGCTCACTGCAACCTCCGCCTCCCAGGTTCAAGCGATTCTCCTGCCCCAGCCTCCCAAGTAGGGCGCACCACCATGCCCAGCTAATTTTTGTATTTTTAGTAGAGACGGGGTTTCACTATGTTGGTCAGGCTGGTCTCGAACTCTTGACCTCGTGTTCCACCCGCCTCGGCCTCCCAAAGTGCTAGGATTATGGGCGTGAGCCACCGTGCCCAGCCAAGGTAAGAATTTTCTGTCTAGCTAGTAGAGAGTACTTTTAATCACGTTTGCTACCTGTTACCTTTGCAGTTTATTTGAGTTATAACTACCTCCCATTGTGTTCATTGACCAGAGAGGTTCTAAAGCATGTTAATTTTTCTTTCCTGACAATATTACTTATTTGTAGTATAAGTCATGCTGACAACCTTCATCAGAGTATAGACATAGGACAGTTATGCCTGGGAAACAAAGGGCTAGTGCTGGATGTACTGGAAAGATAGTTTTCTCTAAAAATTGCAGGGCACATGATACCTCTCCACTCTTATGCAATCTCATCTTAACTATAGACTTTTGAATATTGGACAGCATATATTAATAACTATCTGTTATCCTAAGGAAAATTCTCAGGATTAAGCCAGTATATAAGAATTTACAGTCACCACACCTTATTATTAGGTTATTTATGGGAATCTGACTTTTTTTTTCTTGCTTGCTTAAGGTTTTAATGTTCGTCTAAGTGGCCAAGATGTTGGTCGTGGAACTTTCAGTCAGAGGCATGCAATCGTGGTTTGCCAGGAGACGGATGACACCTACATCCCCCTGAACCATATGGACCCAAATCAGAAGGGGTTTCTAGAGGTGAGATGTTTCTATAGCTGTTGTAAAATCCAGGTGCCAACGATTACACTTCCAGGATTCTTAGAACAAGTAGGAAGGAGTGCTGGCAACTTTGGGTTCAGTACTTTTGGAAGTAAAGGAGTGCTAAATGGGTGGATGAGGTGGGTCTGTCAATTTGGAATGCAAGTAACCCCTAGAGAGTAGGCTGGAGCTTTCTTCTTCTGGTGACATATCTGTAATCATGTAAATGTCAAATCAATGTGTGTTTTGTCAACTCAAAGTTGACATTATCATCTGCATATTGCTGTAATTCATTAAAGTTAGTCAAAGATATGGATAAGTCAGTATTCCTTGCCTACTTAAGGATAGCAAAATCGCACATCCTCAAGGTTACCTGTTCCCTAAGGTATGATTGGCTTGACGAATGTACACATAACCGTGTATTTCTTTCTTTTTTTTCGGAGACTTAATCTTGCTCTGTTGCCCAGGCTGGAGTGCAGTGGTGCCATCTTGGCTCACTGCAACCTCCACCTCCCAGGCTCAGGGGATCCTCATGTTTCAGCCTCCCGAGTAGCTGGGACCACGGGAATGAGGTGCCATTCCTGGCTAATTTTTTTATTTTTAGTAGATGGAATTTCACCATGTTGCCCAGGCTGGTCTTGAACTCCTGGCCTCAAGCAGTCCACCTGCCTTGGCCTCCCAAAGCACTGGAAGTATAGGTGTGAGCCACTGCACCCAGCCAGATATAACCATGTATTTCTGTGTGGCAGCCTCTGTGCCCTCTGTAGTGCCTTAAGGATAGTAGTGGAGTCTTTTCATTTATTTATCTCAAACAATTATTCAAGTGTCTAGCACATGATGTTTATGAAAATAACTTATTCCTTAAGGTAAGTTGAGTGGCATGTCATCTTCTTTCCTACTCTAGCCATTAGTTTGAGAACATCATCTTGAGTTACTGACACCTTATAAAAAATTCACTTGGTGGCCGGGTGTGGTGGTTCACGCCTGTAATCCCAGCACTTCGGGAGGCTGAGGTGGGCAGATCACACGGTCAAGAGATCAAGACCATCCTGGCCAAAATGGTGAAACCCCATCTCTACTAAAAATAGAAAAATTAGCTGGGTGTGGTGGCATGCATCTGTAGTCCCAGCTACTCAGGAGGTTGAGGCAGAAGAATCGCTTGAACCCAGGAGGCGGAGGTTGCAGTGAGCCGAGAACACACCACTGCACTCCAGCCTGGTGACAGAGCGAGACTCTGTCTCAAAAAAAAAAAAAAAAAAAGAAAATTCACTTGGCAAAAGCCACATTTTAGGAAGATAACTGAAGGGATATGGAGCTCATCTTTTCTTTAAGTTAGTCCAAAATCTACCCTTGGATCAAGTCAGATTGCCAAACTAGATACTGAAATGTTTAGCATTCCCCTACCTCAGATGAGGCTTTCATTGAATTGTGCTTTGATATTTATTATCAGTTTTGAATTTTGCTATTGAAAAAGTCCCAATTAAATGCCTTGTGTCTGTTTTGTGGATACTGTTGAAGATTTAATTTAGTTTCATTCATTCATTCATTCGTTCATTTATTTATTTGAGACGGAGCCTCACTCTGTCACCCAGGCTGGAGTGCAGTGGCGTGATCTAGGCTCACTGCAACCTCTGCCTCCTGGGTTGGAGCAGTTCTCCTGCTTCAGCCTCCCAAGTAGCTGGGATTATTTGGCCTCCCAGAGTGCTGGGATTACAGGCGTGAACCACCACGCCTGGCCGAAGATTTAATTTATTATTTAGACCTGGCACGGTGGCTCACACCTGTAATCCCAGCACTTTGGGAGGCCAAGGCAGGCAGATCACTTGAGGCCAGGAGTTCAACACTGGCCTGGCCAACATGGCGAAACCCTGTCTCTACTAAAAATACAAAAATTAGTCGGGCATGGTGGCACACGCCTGTAATCCCAGCTACTCAGGAGGTTGAGGCAGGAGAATTGCTTGAACCCAGGAGGCAGAGGTAGTGAGCGGAGATCATACCACTGCCCTCCAGTTTGGGCAACAGAGCAAGACTCTGTCTCAAATAATAATAAGAGTAATTTATTATTTAATACCATGTCCTCTATGTGAAGACCCTGGGAGAAACTCCTGCTTGATCTTGGTAGTGAGAGTAGCTATATTTTCCTGAGTAGTGATCTGCCTTCATTGTCTAATAGTATTGAATTTTGTAACTGACCAGCATTCCCTTATCAATAATGGCTTCTAGGAAGGGACAGAGGTCAGGCAGCCTTCATGATAAGTGAATAGGTCCTTGGGGTGTGTTTTTCCCCCAACTTCGTTGTACATCTCAATCTGTGTGTGTGTGTGTGTGTGTGTGTGTGTGTGTGTGTATGTATGTGACAGGTCCTCCTCTGTTGCCTAGGCTGGAGTCCCACAGTGCAATTATAGCTCACTGTAGCCTCCAGCTCTTAGGCACAAGCAATTGTCCCGCCTCAGCCTCTCAAGTAGCTGGGACTACAGGCAAGCACCACCACGCCTGGCTACTTTTAAATATTTTGTAGAGATAGGAGTCTCACTGTGATGGCCAGTGTCATCTTGAATTCCTGGCCTCAAGCAATCCTCCTGCCTTGGCCTCCCAAAGTGCTGGGATTATAGATGTGAGCTGCCGTGCCCAGCCTAGAGGGTTTTTATTTTTTTAAGTAAAAGCTTTATTGAGCTATAACTCATACAATTCAACCTCTCAGTGTGTACACTTGAGCAGTTTGTAGTCTATTCACAGAGTTGTGTAATCATCACCACTATCTAATTTTAGAACATTTTCATTACCCTAGAAAGCAAGCCCATGCCCGTTAGCAGTCACTGCCCATTCCTTCCTCCCTCCAGCCCCTGGACACCACTCATCGACTGTTTGTTTCTATTGATCTGCCTATTTTGGATGTTTCATGTGACTAGAACGGTATAACATGTGGCCTTTTGGGACTGGCTTCTTTGACTTGGCATCATGCTTTCAAGGTCCATCCATGCATGCAGCATGTATCAGTACATCCTTCTTTTTTTTGAGACCAAGTCTTGCTCTGTTGCCCAGGCTGGAGTGCAGTGGCGCAACCTCGGCTCACTGCAACCTCAGATTCCTAGGTTAAAGTGGTTCTCCCACCTCAGCCTCCCAAGTAGCTGGGACTGCAGGTGTGCGCCACCAGGCCCTGCTAATTTTTGAATTTGTAGCAGAGACAGGGTCTCGCCACATTGGCCAGGCTGATCTCAAACTTTTGACCTCAAGTGATCATCTCAGCCTCCCAAAGTGCTGAGATTACAGGTGTGAGCCACCACACTCTGCCCGTCCTTCCTTTTTATTCCAAAATAATATTCTATAAAGATGTAGCTTAAACATATATTTTTTTAAAATTTGAAAGAAACAAAATTACCAAAATGTTGTGTACAGTAAGGAACTTTTTCTCATCTTTATTTTTTCTTTTGAGACAGGGTCTCACTCTGTCACGCAGGCTGGAGTGTAGTGATGCAATCACTGCTCACTGCAGCCTCGACCTCCTGTGTCCAAGTGATCCTCCTAGCTCCCTTTTTCCATCTTGAACCATCTGAGAGCTAGTTGCCATCCTGGTGCCCCCTACTGTGTATTTCCACAAATGGGGGGACATCCTTCTCCATCATAACACACCAAAATCAGGAAATGAACACAGACATGACTACCATGTATTTCTCAAACCAAGATCAACAATTTTTTTTTCTTTTTTTTTTTTAGGCAGAGTCTCACTCTGTTGCCCAGGCTGGAGTGCAGTGGCACAATCTCGGCTCAATGCAACCTCCACCTCCCAGGTTCAAGCAATCCTCCCACCTCAGCCTCTTGAGGCCTGCATCACCATGCTCAGCTAATTTTTGTATTTTTTGTAGAGACTGGGTTTCACCATGTTGGCCAGGCTGGTCTCGAACTCCTGACCTCAGGTGATCCTCCTGCTTTGGCCTCCCAAAGTGCTGGGATTATGTTTTGCATTTAATTGTAATGTCTTTTTAACCTTCTCAGAGATAAAATTTGTATTCTGCTTTTTTTAATGTTAACATATCATGATGGTTCTTTTGATTTACCATGCAAATACGATGTTAGAATAATGATTTTAACCAAAGGTAGGACTTTATTTTTTAACTTTCCTCACTTTGTTTCATGATAATTTTTTTCTTTTTTGAGACAGGATCTCACTGTGTCACGCAGGCTGGAGTGCAGTGGTGCGATTATAGCTCACTGTAGTTTCAACCTCCTGGGCTCAAGTGATCCTCCCACCTCAGCCTCCCAAGTAGTTGGGACTACAGGCATGTGCCACCATGCCCAGCTAATTTTTGTCTGCTTTTTTTAGAGATGGGGTTTTGCCATGTTGCCCATGTTGATCTCAAACTCCTGTGCTCAAGCGATCCTCCCATCTCGGCCTCCCAAATTGTTGGGAGGCCACCACGCCCGGCCACAGGTTTTTGAAAAGCTTATAAGACGCAGTTGTATACCTAGCTCCAGAAGAGGGTCATCTGAGAAGTATATGTGCTTATCCTTGAAGAAACTCTGTAATACCCATATTCCAGCCTCTTTTATCTTTTCCTCTCTTTGTCCCAACTTTTCTCATCTGCATCACTGACACCAAGCAGCAAATCTCTTCTCAAAAGAATGTGGTGATGAGGCCGGGCGTGGTGGCTCATGCTGTAACCCCAGCACTTTGGGGGGCCAAGGTGGGTGGATCACCTGAGCTCAGGAGTTTGAGACCAGCTTGGCCAACATGCTGAAACCCTGTTTCTACTAAAAGTACAAAAATTAGCTGGGCATGGTGGCGGGTGCCTGTAATCCCAGCTACTCAGGAGGCTGAGGCAAGAGAATCACTTGAACCTGGGAGGCGGAGGTTGCAGTGAGCCGAGATGGAGCCATTGCGCTCCAGCCTGGGCAACAAAAGTGAAACTCCGTCTCAAAAAGCAGAAACAAACAAACAAAAAGAATGTGGTGATGAACGAGAGCAAGGCTCCCTCTCCGCACCACCTCCCTTCGATAAGTTCGCAGGAGCCCAGTGCTCTGCCGTGGCCCTCACATGCAGCGTTTCCTTCTCTTCTCTGGGATTAGGTCAGCAACAGCCCACTGTCAGAAGAGGCCGTCCTGGGATTTGAATATGGGATGAGCATTGAGAGCCCAAAGTTACTGCCCCTGTGGGAGGCACAGTTTGGCGATTTCTTCAATGGTGCCCAGATCATCTTTGACACATTCATCTCTGGAGGTTGGTGTCAGCGTATAGGGTGGGTACAGGTGGGGGTCCCTGCGTGGCCCCAGCCTCGTGGGGACAAATGAATGAAAAGGGGCCACTGCTGCCTTGAGACTCCCGTGTGCGGCGGCGCCTCCAGGGAGTTGGGGTCACCCTGTTATGACGGGAGTGTGGCCACTGTCAGGTTAATGTGTTACTGGGACAAAAACCCAAGCTCTCTCTCAGCAGGAGCACTGGTGCCACCCAGCACCTGTGCTCAGGGGTCAGTAGGGCCATGAAAACCCGCTCCAGTGTCTGAAAGCTTCCGAAGCAGTACCTGCTCACCGTAAAAATTAGAAGTAATTGAAGTAAACGTCTAAGTCTTCTCCCCAGACCCTGAATCCCATTTTCCAGGGATGCCCACTCTTGGGTTTTGAATACCTGCCTTAAATCTTTCCTATAGTTATGCTTCTCTGTAACATTTTCACTGGGAGGAAGAAAAGTGCCTGAGGGCCTGGACTTCTGACTTGTCCAGAGACTGTTCTGTCGTGCCCACCACCCCCTGTTTCAAGACAGTGGCCTGTGTTGTCAGCTGGGCTGTGAGAGCTGCCCATTCTTTTTCTTTTCTTTTTTTTTTTTTTTGAGACGGAGTCTCGCTCTGTCACCCAGGCTGGAGTGCAGTGGTGCGATCTCGGCTCACTGCAAGCTCCGCCTACTGGGTTTGCACGATTCTCCTGCCTCAGCCTCCCGAGTAGCTGGGACTACATAGGCGCTGGTCACCACGCCCGGCTAATTTTTTGTATTTTTAGTAGAGATGGGGTTTCACCGTGTCAGCCGGGATGGTCTCGTTCTCCTGACCTCATGATCCACCCACCTCAGCCTCCCAAAGTGGTGGGATTACGGGTGTGAGCCACTGTGCCCGGCCGGGAGCTGCCCATTCTTGTAAGAGTGGTGCCTGCGGTGGTATTGGAGCGGCATGTGCTGTCCAGGAAGCTGGGAACGTTCCCCTTTGAGTTTGTCTTCCACTCGTAAAAGCCCAGGGCCTGTGCCGTGATAGGTTATGGCTTTCTTTTTTGAGACGGTGTCTCACTCTGTCCCTCAGGCTGGTGTGCAGTGGCATGATCTCAGGACACTGCAACCTCTATCTCCCGGGGTCAAGTGATTCTCCCACCTCAGCCTCCCGAGTAGCTGGGACTACAGACATGTGCCACTACAGCTGGCTAATTTTTGTATTTTTAGTAGAGACGGGGTTTCACCATGTTGGCCAGGCTGGTCTCGAACACCTGACCTCAAGTGATCTATCCGCCTCAGCCTCCCAAAGTGCTGGGATTACAGGTGTGAGCCACCGTGCCTAGCCCATGATAGGTTTTCATTCAATGAAATGGACATTTCCCTAAGTATAGCATAACAGTTCTAGAAGGTGCATGTAATGAAAGCAGTTTTGGGGGGCCAGGCAGAAAACTAACATTGATTTCCCCAGCTGAGTCGTGTCAGGCCACTTTGTCCCCGCTTCGTAGAGCTCTTACTCCCCACGTGGTACTTTTCCAGGAGAGGCCAAGTGGCTCCTACAAAGCGGCATCGTCATCCTCCTTCCACATGGCTACGATGGGGCTGGGCCAGACCACTCATCCTGTCGAATAGAGCGTTTCCTGCAGGTAAGGGTAACGTCTTCCGGAGTCAATGAATCATTTTCCTGCTTCCTAGAGCTTTTCTACCTCCTGCGGATAGCTTAACGCCCACCTAACTGTAACACAGCTTAGTATTTGAGTGAAACAGATTTGATGCAATGTCAATTTTCTTTGGAAACGTAATGCCTCAGGTATAATTGTATCACGGTTTTATGGCAATTAAAGTTCTCTTGTGCCAGGATCAGCAGTTCTTATACCAGGCTGATCATCAGAATCCCCCAGAGAGCTTTTTTATTTTTATTTTTTTTTGAGATGGGGTCTCGCTCTGTTGCCCAGGCTGGAGTGCAGTGGTGCGATCTTGGCTCACTGCAACCTCTGCCTCTTGGGTTCAAGCGATTCTCCTGGCTCACCCTCCAAGTAGCTGGGACCACAGGCGTATGCCACCATGCCTGGCTAATTTTTGTGTTTTTAGTAGAGATTGGTGTTCTTCCATGTTGGCCAGGCTAGTCTGAAACTCCTGGCCTCAAGTGATCTACCCGCCTCAGCTTCCCAAAGTGCTGGGATTACAGGTGTGAGCCACCAACCCTGGCTGGTTATTAAAACATTTGAAATATCCTGCCAGAAATAGCCATTGTCCTCATTTGGTGTGAATCATTACAAATGTCTCCTTTTGCATGTTATTTCCTTATAGTTTATTATGAAGACTTTCAGATATACAGAAAAGTTGGAAAGAATTTACTGTGAATACTCATATGCCCACTCCCTAGAATTCACCATTATTTTTTATTATACTTGTTTTTTCACATATCTATTCATCTGTCATTCTGGTATCCTTCAATGCATCTTATGTTTTGATTCATTTCAAAATAAATGGAGACATTAGCCGGGTGCAGTGGCTCACACCTGTAATCCTGGCACTTTGGGAGACCAAGGCAGGTGGATCACTTGAGATCAGGAGTTTGAGACCAGCCTGGCTAACACAGAGAAACCCCATCTTTACTAAAAATACAAAAATTAGCCATGTGTAGTGGCTCATCCCTGTAATCCAAGCTACTCGGGAGCCTGAGGCAGGAGAATCGCTTGAACCCAGGAGGCAGAGGTTGCAGTGAGATCACGCCACTGCACTCCAGCCTGGACAACAAAGACTCTGTCTCAAAAAATTAAATAAATAAATAAATAAATAATAAATAGAGATATCAATACATGTCACCCCAAGTACTTCAGCATGCATATCGTTAATGATTTTGGCATGCGTGCAGCTAAAATGTATAAACAGATGATAGCTTAATAGATAGGTAGACAGAACAACAGATAGATGGATAGTTACATTAATGATGACATCGAGAATTTTATTTAAAAAGAGATTAGAGTAATGGTAGATAAACTAAAGCATGACATGTGAAATGCAAAACTACTAGTTGTTGAAGAAACAGAGGAAATGAGTAGGTGGGGGATACAGTTTCGGAGTCATCAGCCACTAGATGACATTGACAGTCATGAGTCTGGAAGAAGTCATCGAAGCAGCGAGCACAGTGGAGGAGAGAAGGTGCCTGAGCTCTGGGCCCTGGGATAGTCCAACCTCAGAGGATGCAGAGAAGAAGAAGAAGTGAGATGAAGAAGGAGCAACCAGTGAGGTGGGAGGAAGATCTTAGAAAGCAAGCGAAGGAAACATATCAGGGAAGAGGGAGTGTCAGTGTCAATTAAGATGAGGAGTGAAGTAATCCCAGCACTTTGAGAGGCCGAGGTGGGAGGATCACTTGAGCCCAGGAGTTTGAGACCAGCTTGGGCAACATAGTGAGACCCTGTCTCTACTAAAAATAAATAAATAAATAAATAGATGAGGCATAAGAATGAACCACTGAATTTAGAAATCAAGAGTCCATTTGTTGGTTGATGACTGCGGTTTTGATGGAGTGGTAGGGACAAAAGTCTGTCTGGGACATATTAAGGACTATCTAGAGCAACTTGTCCAACCTGTGTCCATGGACCACATGCGGCTCAGAACAGCTTTGAATGTAGCCCAATACAGGCTGGGCGTGGTGGCTCACTCCTGTAATCCCAGCACTTTGGGAGGCCGAGGCGGGCGGATCATGAGGTCAGGAGATGAAGACCATCCTGGCTAACACGGTGAAACCCTGTGTCTACTAAAAATACAAAAAATTAGCCGGGCACGGTGGCAGGCACCTGTAGTCCCAGCTACTTGGGAGGCTGAGGCAGGGGAATGGTGTGAACCTGGGAGGCGGAGCTTGCAGTGAGCTGAGATTGCGCCATGCACTCCAGCCTGGGTGACAGAGCGAGACTCTGTCTCCAGAAAAAAGAATGTGGTCCAATACAAATTCATAAACTTTCTTAAAACATTATTTGTGATTTTTTTTTTTTACCTTATTAGCCATTGTTAGTGTTAGTGTATTTTATGTGTGGCACAAGACAATTCTTCTTCTTCCGGTGTGGCTCAGGTAAGCCAAAAGATCGGACACCCCTGATTCCTGATTCTAGAGAAAGGAAAGTGTATTTATTTAAACATTTTTAATTGACAAATGTACAATTGTATATATGAATAGTATAAAATGTGATGTTTTGATACAGCTATACATTGTGAACTGATTGAATCAAGCTAATTACCAGACCCGTCACCTCACATACTCACCATTTTTGGGGAAGAGAACATTTAAAATCTATCCTCTTAGTAATTTTCAGGTATATAATACGTTAACTACAGTTACCATCCTGTACAGTAGATCTCCAGAACTTATTCAAGGGAGGAAAGTTGGCCTAGCATGGTGGCTCACACCTGTAATCCCAGCACTTTGGGAGGCCAAGGTGGGTGGATATCTTGCTCAGGAGTTTGAGACCAGCCTGGGCAACATGGTGAGACCCCATTTCTGCTAAAAATAAAACTAAAAAAATTAGCTGGGTGGGTGGTGGTGCGTGCCCATAATCCTCACTACTTGGGAGGCTGAGGTGGGAGGATCACTTGAGCCT
Source organism: Homo sapiens (assembly GCF_000001405.40). Taxonomy (NCBI): domain Eukaryota; kingdom Metazoa; phylum Chordata; class Mammalia; order Primates; family Hominidae; genus Homo; species Homo sapiens. Next base: position 12,110,971 of record NC_000010.11, read on the forward strand.
GGGAGGCGGAGGTTGTAGTGAGCTGAGGTTGCACCACTGCATTCCAGCCTGGGCAAGAGAGCCAGACCCTGTCTCAAAAAAAAAAAAAAAAAAAGGGAGGAACATCAACTTAACTCTTTTGAGGAGTATTGCTGTAAATAGAACAAGAAAATGAGACAGTAGCTGGTGGGAAAATTTGTGTCAAGAGTTCCTTTTGTGTTTTCTTTTATTTTTGTGATGGCGTCTTGCTCTGTCACCCAGGCTGTAGTGCAATGCTGCAGTCTTGGCTCTCTGCAACCTCTGCCTCCCAGGTTCAAGCAATTCTCCTGCCTCAGCCTCCCGAGTAGCTGGGATTATAGGCTTGTGCCACGATGCCCGGCTAATTTTTGTATTTTTAGTAGAGATGGGGTTTCACCATGTTGACCAGGCTGCTCTTGAACCCCTGACCTCATGTGATCCTCCCACCTTGGCCTCCCAAAGTGCTAGGATTTCAGGCATGGGCCACCGCGCCAGGCCTTTGTTTTGTGTTAAAGGTAGGAAATAAGGCCTGTTTGGTGATAGGCATGATCCAGTAGACAAGAAGAGAATGGTGATGTAGGGGTGCTGATAGAATAACTGAGTGATTTCCTTGCATTGGTAAAATGGGGTGGGCTCTAGTACATGATGGATTAAATTAGCTTTAGACAGCAGCATGGTTGGTGGCAATAAATGGAAGGCAGAGAAGATGAGTGCAAGTGAGAATGTGTGTGTAGATGGTCTGAGGACATGCTGTTAGGTCATTAGCTGAGAGTGGTGATGCAGGAGGAGGTCCTGAGTTTAAAGGTGTGAATTAGTCACCTGGGAAAGAAGGAGAATGAGTGAGTTAGGGAAATAGAGTTTAAGAGTCTAAGGTCACTAAGGGCCCATCTCAGACTGTTGGTCAGGATTCTAAAGTAAGACCATTGGTGTGATTTTGTGTTGTCTCCAGCTACTTTCTCTGCAGACATGGAACAGGCAGAAAGTGGGGATTAACTAGGTTTATGGGTTGGAGTGAAGGGTCATGGGAATCAAGGGTGTATGCAAAAAGAAGATGATCATGATTGAGGCCAGGCATGGTGGCTCATGCCTGTAATCCCAGCACTTTGGGTGGCTGAGGCGGGAGGATCGCTTGAACCCAGGAGTTTGAGACCAGCCTGGGCATCATAACAAGACCCCATCTCTACAAAAATATTAAAATTAGTCAGGTGTGGTAGCAGGCACCTGTAGTCCCAGCTACTTGGGAGGCTCTGGTGGGAGGATTGCTTTTGAGTCCAGAGTTTGGGGTTACAGTGTGCTATGATCATGCCACTGAACTCCAGCCTGGGTGAGAGAACGAGACTCTGTAACAACAACAAAAATAATTGTCCAGATTTTGTCAACTCTCTTTCTTTCCTTTCACTGCCTTTGGGGAAGGGTTAGGAGTTATGCCTCAGCTTTCTGTCCCACCAGGATCTTCTGAGATTTAACTTCCTTGCCCTCAATTTTTCAACCTTTCTATTAGCTGCTTTTGATTTTTGTCTTAAAGCACGCGTGCACACACACACACACACACACACACACACAATCGTTTTATTACATTAGGAAAGTGAGATTCTGATAGTGCTTCCTTCCCCTGTCTTAACCCTGTAGTAATCAGAATATGTATTTTTTTTAAAAAAGTCCTTTCCAGATTATCTTTGCTATCAGCCGTGTTTGGGAACAATTGTGTTAGATGACACAGAATTGGGCCAGTGGAGAAAGCCATCAGAGCTCTCCTTTGGTTAATACCGCACCGTTCATAAATTCACCTGCTGATATTTTTCTGTAATGTTGGGCAATAGCTTTTCTGCTATAATCAAGAACACCTGTGTTTCCCTTTGGCCAGCCCATTGTCACTACGACTGAAATAGATGATCTGAACATTCTTCTCCTTTCTTGCCACTTCTCTCCCAGATGTGTGACAGTGCGGAAGAGGGGGTGGACGGAGACACTGTGAACATGTTTGTGGTTCACCCAACAACTCCTGCACAGTATTTCCACTTGCTTAGGAGACAGATGGTCCGGAACTTCAGAAAACCACTCATTGTTGCTTCCCCTAAGATGTTACTCAGGCTCCCGGTAAGCAGAAGGTGGTGAATAAGCCTTCCTCCTTTTGTCATTTTTTGCACTCCATTTTTCCCTATTTTCCATATCTAATTATATTTAAATTACAGAAACACCTTTTTAGTTTCAACTGACTTTGCTACTTTCATTTTTTTTGTTGTTTTTTGAGACGCAGTCTTGCTCTGTCGCCCAGGCTGGAGTGCAATGGTGCAATCTCGGCCCGTTGCAACCTCTGACTCCTGGGTTTAAGCGATTCTCCCGCCTCAGCCTCCCAAGTAGCTGAGATTACAGGCATGTGCCACCACACCCAGCTAATTTTTGTATTTTTAGTAGAGATGGGGTTTCGCCATCTTGGCCAGACTAGTCTCTAACTCTTGACCTCAGGTGATTCGCCCGCCTCGGCCTCCCAAAGTGCTGGGATTGCAGGCGTGAGTCACCACACCCAGCCTGCTTTCATTTTTTAAACAGCCTTTTAAGACTACCTGGAAAGATAGGTAGGTTTTCTGTCAATTGTAATGAAGGACAGGGATAGCAGATGTTATACTAGTGCCCTCCTGAGCAGAAATACTATTTAGAAAAGCTTTTAGGCTATTAGGCTGGGCATGGTGGCTCATGCCTATAATTCCAGGACTTTGGGAGGCCTAGGCAAGAGGATTGCTTGAGCCCAGGAGTTTGAGAGCAACCTGGGCAACATTGCAAGACCCCATCTCTGAAAAAAAAAATTGGCCGGTGTGGTGGCTCACACCTGTGCTGTCAGCTGCTCAGGAGGCTGAGATGGGAGCATCTTTTGAGCCCTGGAGTTCAAGGCTGCAGTGACGTATGACCATGCCACTACACTCCAGCCTGGGCAACACAGCAAGACATTGTCTGAAAAAGAAAAGAAAAAGTTTTAAAGCCCATATGGTCTAAGCACTATTTTTTTTGATAGCAGCAATTTGGGAATTCAAAGTATTTTGTTGAAAATGAGTGGCATTATTTGTCATTCTTTTTTTTTTTTTTCTTTTTGAGATGGAGTCTTGTGCTGTTGCCCAGGCTAGAGTGCAGTGGCGTGAAATTTATCATTTTATCATTTAACACATACGTAGGTTTACCTATTTATCTGTTAAGTGTACATTGTTTTTCAAATCACAAAAATATGCTAGTTTCCAAATAGAAATGTTCAAAATAATAAATACTACTAAGCATATATTTATCCCATCTGCTATACTTTTTTCAGGTTCATATGAGTTTTAATTAGAATTAGTATTAAATTTTTTTTTTTTTTTGAGACGGAGTCTCACTCTATCACCCAGGCTGGATTGCAGTGGTGCTGTCTCAGCTCACTGCAACCTCCAACTCCCGGGTTCAAGCGATTCTCCTGCCTCAGCCTCCTGAGTAGCTGGGATTATAGGCACTCGCCACCATGCCTGGCTAATTTTTGTATTTTTAGTAGAGATGGGGTTTTACTGTGTTGGACAGGTGGTCTGGAACTCCTGGCCTCATGTGATCCACCTGCCTTGGCCTCCCGAAGTGCTGGGATTACAGGCATGAGCCACCGTGCCCGGCCGGGAGTATTACAGTTTTTACATTTATTTGGATATGACTGCTGAGGTGAAATAAGACGTTTAGAATTTGGCCATTCAAGAATATCTTGTGCTGCTCACAAAGGTTCGAGAGTGTATATTTGGAATTGAGGGGTACTGAAGAAAAGCTGCGAGTGATTTGCTTCCACCCCTTGGTTGGTTGGTTGGTTGGTTGGTTGGTTGGTTGGTTGGTTGGTTTTTTGAGACGGAGTCTCGCTCTGTCGCCCAGGCTGGAGTGCAGTGCTGCGATCTCGGCTCACTGCAAGCTCCGCCTCCCGGGTTCAGGCCATTCTCCTGCCTCAGCCTCCTGAGTAGTTGGGACCACAGGCGCCTGCCACCACGACCTGCTAATTTTTTGTATTTTTAGTGGAGACAGGGTTTCACTGTGTTAGCCAGGATGGTCTCGATCTCCTGACCTCGTGATCCGCCCGCCTCGGCCTCCCAAAGTGCTGGGATTACAGGCATGAGCCACCGCTCCCGGCCTGTTTGAACAGTTTCTTGAGATGGAGTGTCGCTCTGTTGCCCAGGCTGGAGTGGAGAGCGCGATCTTGGCTCGCTCGCTGCAAACTCCGCCTCCCAGGCTCAAGCAATTCTCCAGCCTCAGCCTCCCCAGTAGCTGGGATTACAGGCTTGTACCACCATGCTCAGCTAATTTTTGTATTTTTAGTAGAGACAGAGTTTCATCATGTTGGCCAGGCTGGTCTCGAACTCCTGGCCTCAAGTGATTGGGCTGACTCGGCCTCCCAAAATGCTGGGATTATAGGTGTGAGCCACTATGCCTGGCCTCGTTGTTTTAAGCAGTTTTTAGCATTCAGAGGGGAGTAGGGAGGTACTCATTCTCAGGGGCGATATTTTCATGGCCCTAAAATCAGTGCCTCCTTAAACTTTTTGCACTAGGTACCTTACTTGACTCACCCTAGCCTGGCCCTGGGAGTCAGTATCTAGTCAATAGCCAGGAAATGGATTTCAGTAGTCTTACCAATAGCAGCCATTCATTTTTAGTTCACTTATAGTGGTCTACCGGTTCTTTCTCACCCAGTGTTTCGCAAACAACCTTATATATTTCTAGGTGACCTCATAAGCCTGGAAGCATCACCAAACATTTAGGAAGAGTTAATGCAATGCCTTTAGCACCATTTTTCTGATGGGGCTCTTTTTTTTCTTTTTTTTGTTATTTTGAGAGTCTCGCTTTGTTGCCTAGGCTGGCATGCAGCGGCATAATCTTAGCTCACTGCAACCTTTGCCTACTGAGTTCAAGCAAGGCCTCAGCCTCCGACGTAGCTGGGACTATTAGGTGTGTGCCACCACACCCAGCAATTTTTTTTTTTTTTTTTTTTGAGACAGAGTTTTGCTCTGTCACCCAGGCTGGAGTGCAATGGCACAATATCAGCTCACTGCAACCTCCATTTCCTGGGTTCAAGCAATTCTCCTGCCTCAGCCTCCCAAGTAGCTGGGATTACAGGCATGCACCACCATGCCTGGCTCATTTTTGTATTTTTAATAGAGACGAGGTTTCGCCATGTGGGCCAGGCTGGTCTCAAACTCCTGGCCTCAAGCAATATGCCTGCCTCGGCCTCCCAAAGTGCTGGGATTACAGGCATGAGCCACCACGTCTGGCCTGATTCTTAAAATTATGTCGTGGCACCAGGCAAAAGGTAATCTTTTCTTAAATTCATTTTTTAATTTTTATTGTCATCCTTGTGCAGGGGCCATGCTAATCTTCTCTGCAGTGTTCTAATTTTAGTATATGTGCTGCCAAAATGAGCACAGAAGGCAATCTTTTTACTTTTTTTTTTTCTTGAGATGGAGTTTCCTGTTACCCAGGCTATAGTGCAATGGTGTGATCTCAGCCCACTGCAACCTCCGGCTCCCAGGTTCAAGCAATTCTTGTGTCTCACTCTCCCCAGTAGCTGGGATTACAGGCATGCACCACCACGCCCAGCTAACTTTTATAATTTTAGTAGAGACGGGGTTTCACCATGTTGGCCAGGCTGGTCTTGAACTCCTGATATCAGGCAATCTGTCCACCTCTGCCTCCCAAAGTGCTGGGATTATAGGCATGAGCCACCGCGCCCAGTCTTTTTCTTTTCTTTTTTTTTTTTTGAGACAAGGTCTGGCTCTGTCACCCAGGCTGGAGTGCAGTGGCATGATCATGGCTCATTGCAACTTCCGCCTCCCAAGCTCAAACTTCTAGCCTCCCACCTCATCCTCCTGAGTAGCTGGGACTACAGGCATGCGCTACCACACCTGGCCAATTTTTGTATTTTTTTGTAGAGATGGGGTTTCACCATCTTGCCTAGGCTGGTCTCAAACTTGTGAGTTCAAGCAATCCACCTGCCTCAGCCTCCCAAAGTTCTAGGATCACAGGCTGGAGCCACTGCAACTGGCCAGTTTTGGTTTGTTTTGTTTCGGATGAGGTCTTGCTCTGTTGCCCAGGCTGGAGTGCAATGGTGCGATTTCAGCTCACTGCACCCTCTGCCTTCTGGGTTCAAGCAATTCTCCCGCCTCAGCCTCCTGAGTAGCTGGGATTACAGACACCCGCCATCATGCCCAGCTAATTTTTGTATTTTTATATTTTTGTAGAGATGGGATTTCACCATGTTGGCCAGGCTGGTCTCAAACTCCTGACCTCAGGTGATCCGCCCACCTTGGCCTCCCAAAGTGCTGGGATTACAGGCATGAGCCACGGCACCTTTTTTTTTTTTTTTTTTTTTTTTAATAGAGGCAAGGCACCAGTGGGGATGGTGGAGTAGGGGGTGCAAAGGGAGTCTCGCTATGTTGCCCAGGCGGGTCTTGAACTGGCCTCCAGCGATCCTCCTGCCTTGGCCTCCCAAAGTGTTAAGATTCCAAAAGGCTATCTTATGTAACCTCAGAAACATAGTTTTACCCTGAAGTATACAGAACTGATATTTTTTGGCAAGGCATTGCGTCTATTAGGACATGGGTCTCCTTGCAGTGCTAGGCTAGAACTTTGGTACTCGTGTTTGATAGCGGCCCTTGTAAGTGACAGCATCACCTCTTTCTGTTGCTTGCTGGATGTGTGGCCTCTTCTCCCTCGTAGGCAGCCGTGTCAACTCTTCAAGAAATGGCACCAGGAACAACATTTAACCCGGTCATTGGTGATTCATCTGTGGATCCAAAAAAGTAAGATATGTATCTCTGTTTTCATATTCTGTGGCAGAATTTTAATTAATGGGAAAAGTAGTTCACATTAAGAGATCACAGGTGATGCAGATCTCCCCTCTCCTATTTTTATTTATTTATTTATTTATTTATTTATTTATTTATTTATTTTTGAGACTGAGTCTGGCTCTATTGCCCAGGCTGGAGGGCAGTGGTGCAATCTCAGCTCTATGCAACCTCCGCCTCCCGGATTCAAGTGATTCTTGTGCTTCAGCCTCCCAAGTAGCTGGGATTACAGGTGCCCGCCACCACACCCTGCTAATTTTTTTATTTTTAGTAGAGATGGGGTTTCACCATGTTGGCCAGGCTGGTCTCGAACTCCTGACCTCAGGTTATCCACCCACCTCAGCCTCTGAAAGTGCTGGGATTGCAGGCGTGAGCCACCATGCCTGGCCTCCTCTATCCTAAGTCCTTTAAGTCAGTGGAGTATGAGTTAAGTGTGGGTGGGAAAGTGGACTTTGTAGGCGCATGTTGCTGAAGAAGGGTCCCCAGGAATAGCCTGTGACTGAACTCGGCTGCAGAGACCCCCACCACCTTGTTCATGAGGACTTTAAATCTGCACTGTCTCCCGTTTCTTCTGACATAATTCTCTTTTTTTTTTTTTTTGAGGTTGAGTCTTGCTCTGTCGCCCAGGCTGGAGTGCAGTGGCACGATCTTGGCTCACTGCAAGCTCCGCCTCCCGGGTTCACGCCATTCTCCTGCCTTAGCCTCCCGAGTAGCTGGGACTACAGGTGCCCGCCAGTACGCCCGGCTAATTTTTTGTATTTTTAGTAGAGACAGGGTTTCACCGTGTTAGCCAGGATGGTCTTGATTTCCTGACCTCGTGATCCGCCCGCCTTGGCCTCCCAAAGTGCTGAGATTACAGGCGTGAGCTACTGCACCTGGCCTCTTCTGACGTAATTCTTACTTTAAAAAATTTCTCCCCCACCCTATTGTTCCTTTTCTGTCCAACAGGGTTAAGACCCTCGTGTTCTGCTCCGGCAAACATTTCTACTCCCTGGTGAAACAAAGAGAATCTCTGGGGGCCAAGAAGCATGACTTTGCCATCATCCGAGTAGAGGAACTCTGCCCCTTCCCGTTGGATTCTTTACAGCAAGAGATGAGCAAATACAAACATGTTAAAGGTAAGAGGTTGTTCTCATTTGGGTTTTGATGTTCAGATACCCAAAACCCATTTCAGCTCTTTTAAATGAAAAGATGTGGTGGGGGTTATTAGAAAATTGAATCTTGGGCCGGGCGCGGTGGCTCACACCTGTAATCCTGGCACTTTGGGAAGCTGAGGTGGGTGGATCACAAGGTCAGGAGATTGAGACCATCCTGGCTAACACGGTGAACCCCCGTCTCTACTAAAAGTACAAAAAATTAGCCGGGCGTGGTGGCGGGCGCCTGTAGTCCCAGCTCCTTGGGAGCCTGAGGCAGAAGAATTGCTTGAACCTGGGAGACGGAGGTTGCAGTGAGCCGAGATTGTGCCACTGCACTCCAGCCTGGGCACAAGACTCTGTGTCAAAAAAAGACACAAAAACATGAAAATTTGGTACAGGCGGGGCGCGGTGCCTCACGCCTGTAGTCCCAGCACTTTGGGAGGCCGAGGTGGGCGGATCACGAGGTCAGGAGATCAAGACCATCCTGGCTAACACAGTGAAACCCCGTCTCTACTGAAAATACAAAAAAATTAGCCGGGCGTGGTGGCGGGCGCCTGTAGTCCCAGCTACTTGGGAGGCTGACGCAGGAGAATGGCGTGAACCCGGGAGGCGGAGCTTGCAGTGAGCCGAGATTGCGCTACTGCACTCCAGCCTGGGCGACAGAGCGAGACTCCGTCTCAAAAAAAAAAAAAAAAAAAAGAAAGAAAATTTGGTACATATATGGGGCCTGTCCGAGGGTCATGGGGGAGGAGGGAGAGCATCAGGCAGAACAGCTAATGGATGCTGGGTTAATACCTAGGTGATGGATGATCTGAGGAGCAAACCTCCGTGGCACACATTTACCTGCATAACAAACCTGCACATCCTGCATGTGTACCCCAGAACTTAAAAAAGAAAAAAGAAAATGCATTGAATACACCTAAACTACAAAACACAGCTTAGCCTAGCCTGCCTTAAACATGCTCAGAACACTCACATTAGCTTATCGTTGGGCACAATCATTTAACACAAAATCTATTACATTTCATAATGAAGTGTTGAATATCTCAGATAATTTATCGAATACTGTACCAACAGTGAAAAACAGAACTGTTGTATGGGTACTTGAAGTACAGTTTCTAGTGAATGTGAATCCCTTTCACACCATCGTAAAGTTGAAAACTCCATCGTAGGTGGGATCATAGTAAATTGGGGACCGTCTGCATGTGTCTACTTGAGGTGCTGAAAGAATTTCTTCTCTCATAGATCATATTTGGAGTCAGGAGGAACCTCAGAACATGGGTCCGTGGTCGTTTGTTTCTCCAAGGTTTGAAAAGCAGCTGGCCTGCAAGGTAATCACACGTTTTCTCTGGTAGTGTTTTGTGTTTTGTGTGCATGTTGTTTTTCTTTTCTTTCTTTCTTTCTTTTTTTTTTTTGAGACAGAGTCTCACTCTGTTGCCCAGGCTGGAGTGCAGTGGCGCAATCTCAGCTCACTGCAAGCTCCGCCCCCCGGGTTCACGCCATTCTCCTGCCTCAGCCTCCCAAGTAGCTGGGACTACAGGCGCCCGCCACCACACCCAGCTAAATTTTTTTTGTATTTTTAGTAGAGACGGGGTTTCACCATGTTAGCCAGGATAGTCTCAATCTCCTGACCTCGTGATCCGCCCACCTCGGCCTCCCAAAGCGCTGGGATTACAGGCATTGAGGCACGGAGCCCTGTCCCTCTAATCTCTTCTGCGTAACTCATTATTTGAAAGAGGTGATTTATGGTTAAACAAGCTAAGAGAAATACATGCACTGTCTTGTTGGAACTAAGCAGAGCTCTGATCTAGTCAAAATGTCATTTTATTTCTTCTCTGCTGCACTTATAGCTCCGTCTGGTGGGCCGGCCCCCTTTGCCAGTACCCGCTGTAGGAATTGGCACAGTTCACTTGCACCAGCATGAAGATATCCTCGCCAAGACCTTCGCTTGATGATGACTTTTGAAGAAACACTATTTCTCTTTAAGAAAATGGCCATTAAGGCCGGGTGGGGTGGCACATGCCTGTAATCCCAGCACTTTGGGAGGCCAAGGCTGGTGGATCACCTGAGGTCAGGAGTTCGAGACCAGCCTGGCCAACACGGTGAAACCCCGCCTCTACTAAAAATACAAAAAATAGCCGGGTGTGGTGGTGGGCACCTGTGATCCCAGCTTCCTGGGAGGCTGAGGCAAGAGAATCGCTTGAATCTGGGAGGCGGAGGTTGCAGTGAGCCAGGATCACACCATTGCTGTCCAGCCTGGGTGACAGAGCAAGACTGCGTTTCAAAAAAAAAAAAAAAAAAACCCATTAAAAGAGGCCTCCTTCCTCCACTCTCTCAACCCCTCTGTTGGGTAACATGAAAAGACTGTATTCCTCTAAGATGTTGGGATTGATATACGTGATTTAATCTGCAATAGGTGGAATAACCAGGGGAACTGGTTATGAATATGTGAATGCAACCAGCAAATTTATCCTTGAAGGTGTGATGGTAGAAATAGGAAAACAACAAAAGAAAAACAATAACAAAAAAAGAAAGTGTGATGGCTGGGTGCAGTGGCTCACGCCTGTAATCCCAGCACTTTGGGAGGCTTAGGCGGCTGGATCACCTGAGGTCAGGAGTTCAAGACCAGCCTGGTCAACGTGGTGAAACGCCGTTTCTACTAAAAATATGAAAATTAGTTGGGTGTGGTGGCATGCGCTTGTAGTCTCAGCTACTCCGGAGGCTGAGGCAGGAGAATTGCTTGAACCTGGAAGGCAGAGGTTGCAGTGAGCCGAAATGGCGCCACTGTACTCCAACCTGGGCGACAGAGCAAGACTCCATCTCATAAATTAAAAGGAAAGTATGATAGTGTTATGGATTTTAGCTCTGAGTGAGCTGGAAAACTAGGTCATTATCTAGATGATTTCAGACTTGACCCTAATTGACCATATATGACCAGGAAACACTTCTGAGTTTACAGCTCCGTGGAGATGACCTCAACACTGCCTCTTGATTTGTTTGATGCATGTCACTTTCATTAATTTTCCCCCTCCTTTTTGAAAGTCCTGTGGCAGTACTAATATTTTCATTTTATGTAATCTCTGGTGCTGCTTTCCAGTCACTGTATGAAGTGTCTCCCCAACACTAGCAAATCTAGGTCCTACTAAATACAAATCTCTGGGTGGATGATCTTCTAGTACTGTATTTTTAAATTAAGGAGTTTTAGTTATAATGAAATTGATTTGTAGTCTGTTTTGCCGTAAACTTGTTTTTCTTTAAATTGTTCTTACAGTGATATCTTACTATTTTTAACTGTCTGGGGTTTCTGATATGGGGATTTCAGCCCCTGGTTAATCAGTCTTGTCCCTACAAGTCCCTGATGCAGTATGTTTATTTGTGATGTTTAAAGAACATTTCTTGGCTGGGCGCTGCGGCTTGCGCCTGTAATCTCAGCACTTTGGGAGGCTGAGATGGGTGGATCACCTGAGGTTGGGAGTTCGAGACCAGCCTGACAAAACATAGTGAAACCCCGTCTCTACTAAAAATACAAAAATTAGCTGGGCGTGGTGGTGGGTGTCTGTAATCCCAGCTATTCGGGAGGCTGAGGCAGGAGAATCGCTTGAACCCAGGAGGTGGAGGTTGCAGTGAGCTGAGATCCTGCCACTGCACTCCAGTCTGGGTGACAGAGCAAGACTCCATCTCAAAAAATAAATAAATAGAAAGAGAGAGAGAGGAAAAAAAAAGAAAAGAACACTTCTTTATTTGAGGGACTTTCCCAACACCAGGTGCTTGGGGATTTCTTAGAGATCACCAACCGACTCCCTCACTGTGAAATTAAACCAAGTACTGGAAACGTAACTAAACAGCGAACCATGTAGCTTCACCTGACTCAGTGCTGGGGGCCTCTACCATCTACTGTGCTTGTGTCATGATGCTTTTTCTCTGAAGTGGTGTGGGAAGTACCAGGGGACTGGCAGAAGCCCAGGCCCTCTCTACTTTTACCAGCAACTGATCATGTCTTTCAGAATCCATGTACATATAGGCTGTTCTAGCCACAGTGGTAGATTTATGATTCACATCCGAAAGTGTGCCTTAGTTATCAATTTAACATTTCTCTAGTATTCATATCCCTTTTCTTACCATATACCTCAGTGTATCCTTCCTGTGTCAAGCCTTATAAATCATGTAATTTAGTGCCACTCATGTAAATCAGTAAAATCACAAAGGTCTATTTAATGAAAACGATTTACCAATGTTGTTTTTTTTTAACAAGAAAAAAAATAAAAGCACATTGTCATTTTTTTTCCTCAGGACTCCTGGACTTCTTGAATTAAAAGATTTCAAAAGTCTAAGCACAAAAATGAGATGGAAGATTAGATCTTTGTAAAAGGTTAGTTTAGGCTGGGCGTGGTAGCTCACGCCTGTAATCACAGCACTGTGGGAGGTCAAGATGGGTGCATCACCTGAGGTCAGGCATTCGAGACTAGCCTGGCCAACATGGCTAAACCCCGTCTCTTACTAAAAATATAAAAATTAGCAGGGCATGGTGGTGCATGCCTGTAATCCCAGCTACTTGGGAGGCTGAGGCAGGAGAATCACTTGATCTCGGGAGGCGGAGGTTGCAGTGAGCCGAGATTGCACCACTGTACTCCAGCCTGGGTGACAGAGCGGGACTCTGTCTCAAAAAATAAAAGGTTACTTTAAATCTCTCCGAATTTCTTTTGAGACAGAGTCTCACTTTGTCGCCCAGGCTGGAGTGGTGCGATCTCAGCTCACTGCAACCTCCACCTCCTGGGTTCAAAAGATTTTCCTGCCTCAGCCTCCCGAGTAGCTGGGACTACAGGTACGTGCCACAGCCAGTTTTTTGTATTTTTAGCAGAGATGGCGTTTCACCATGTTAGCTAGGATGGCCTTGATCTCCTGACCTCATGATCCGCCCACCTTGGCCTCCCAAAGTGCTGGGTTTACAGGCGTGAGCCACTGTGACTGGTGGATCTCTCCAAATTTCTAATTTTACACCTCACAGTCTGTTCATGGTTTCTTTTTATGTCTTCTCTAACTCGAGTCATGAAATGTGTCTTCTGTTGGCTTAACCTTTCTACTCTCAATCACTACTGCAACATGGATCAGCATTTTACATTCCCTTGCAGGGAGGGACCATTTGAGGAATTCCAAATCAAATACTCATTACTTTTTTTCCCTTAAAAATTTAGTAGGCCAGGCGTGGTGGCTCATGCTTGTAATCCCGGCACTTTGGGAGGCTAAGGTGGGCAGATCACCTGAGGTCAGGAGTTTGAGACCAGTGTGGCCAACCTGGTGAAAGCCTGTTTCTACTAAAAAATACAAAGATCAGCCAGGCGTTGTTGCGCATGCTTGTAGTCCCAGCTACTTGAGAGGCTGAGGCAGGAAATCACTTGAACTACTCCAGCATGGGCAACAGAGCAAGACTCCATCTCAAAAAAAAAAAAAAAAAGTGTAAAAGGGATAGTATTTTTATTGTCAACCAAGGAATTATTAAAAAATAATAAAATTTCAAAGGTAATATAGTCAGTCTAAAGATGTCTAAGCTTCATAGTATTTTTCCCAAATAGCATGTGTATGCAAGACACAGAAAAGCTAAGCAAAATAGTTATTATTCTCACTAAAAAATTTTTTATTTTACTAAGAATAATTTGTCATTTCAGACAAAACTAACATTTTTCCATGGTTGCTACTATTTCTACTTCTTGAATACCCAATTTAAGGTTTAGTCCTCATTGAACATTAAAATGGCATAGATAGATATAAATAATAGATATAAATAAGATACAAGTATAAAGTTACTAAGGTTTTCTTTTTTTCTTTTGAGACCAAATCTCGCTCTGTGGCCCAGGCTGGAGGGCAGTGGTGCGATCCTGGCTCACTGCAACCTCCGCCTTTCTAGTTCAAGTGATTCTGTGTCAGCGTTAGGCCGCTTTGGCCTCTTAAAGTGCTGAGATTACAGGCGTGAGCCACCACACCTGGCCCTTTTACAAAATTGAAGAAATGAAAGGGTTACCCCGCCCAAAAAAAAAAAAAAAAAGATTACACTGGAAGGAAGTCACAGATTAAGGATCAAGACTGTTGAGTCTTTAGGTTCCAAAAGCTTCACCTACATTTTTCTTATATGTATTTGGATATTAAAGAAAATAAGTTACATATACACCATGGAATATTATTCAGCCATTTAAAAAAAATAAAATCTTGTCATTTGTAGCAACATGGATGGAACTGGAAGTCATCATGTTACGTGAAGTAAGTCAAGCACAGAAAGACAAAACTTGGATATTCTCACTCACATGGGAGCTTAAAAAGTGGATTTTGGCCAGGCGCGGTAGCTCATGCCTGTAATCCCAGCCCCTTGGGAGGCCAAGGCGGGTGGATCACCTGAGCTCAGGAGTTTGAGACCAGCCTGGCCAAGAGGGTGAAACCCTGTCTCTACTAAAAATACAAAAAATTAGCCGGGCGTGGTAGCGGATGCCTGTAAATCCCAGCTACTGGGGAGGCTGAGGCAGGAGAATTGCTTGAACCCAGGAGGCAGAGGTTGCAGTGAGCTGAGATCATGCCATTTCACTCCAGCCAAGGTGACAAGAGCAAGACTCCATCTCAAAAAAAAAAAAAAAAAAGTGGATCTCATGAAGATAGAGAGTAGATCGGTGGTATCAGAGGTCGGGAGGGGAAGGGGTGGGGTGATGAAAAGAAGTAGATTAATGGGTACAAATATATGGTTGGATAGAAGAAATAAGACCTACTGTTAGATGGATCGGTAGGTGACCATAGTTTAATCAGTAGGTGACCATAGTTTACAATATCTACTATACATTGTGAAATAGCTAGAGGAGAATTCAAATGGTTCTATCATAAAGAAAAGACAAATATTTAAGGTGATGGATATCCCAAATACACCAATTTGATATTTACAAATTATATGAATGTATTAAATTATCACATGCACCTTGAAAGTATGTACATCTAGCATTCATCAATTAAAAAACCCCAAAAGCTCTTACTCTATAGAAATAGTAATTCATTGTCATTTTATTTAAATCTGATAAAGCACAATCTAAAGCAGACTCCTTTCCTCACTGCTAATTGCAATTTTATTTATTTATTTATTTATTTAGAGACGGAGTCTCACTCTGTCCCCCAGGCTGGAGTGCACTGGCACGATTACGGCTCACTGCAGCCGCGAATTCCTGGGCTCAAGTGATCGTCCCATCTCAGCCTCCCAAGTAGCTAGAAGTAACGTGCCTGCCACTATGCCCTGCTAATTAAACAAATTTTTTTTCTTGTAGAGACGACGTCTTGCTATATTGCCCAGGCTGGTCACAAACTCCTGGCCTTAAATGATTTTCCCGCCTTGTCCTCCCAAAGTGCTGGGATTACAGGCATGAGCCACCACACCCAGTCTAATTTTTAAAAATTATTTAAGTCAGACCAGTGGCGTGTACCTGTAGTCCCAGCAACTCCAGAGGCTTAGGTGAGAAGATCCTTTGCGCCAAGGACTTTGAGGCTGCAGTGAGCTATGATCTCACCACTGCACTCCAGCTTGGGTGACAGAGTGAGATCCATACTGTGAAAAATAATAATACATAAAAAATTAAACAGGGCGCACAGTGGCCCATGCCTGTAATCCCAGCTCTTTGGGAGGATAAGGAAGGCAGAGTGCTTGAACTGGGGAGGCATAGGTTGCAATGAGCCGATACAGTGCCACTTCACTTCAGCCTGGGTGACAGAGTGAGACCCTGTCTCAAGAAAAAAAAAAAGTATTTATATTACTTTAGTGTCGTGTCCCTGTTTTCTTTGACTCATATGGGGATCCAGCTAAAATTGAACTGAACACCAGAAATGACCTTTTAAGAGTAAAATGGTATTTCATCAATAAATACTTTATTGGACATATAGTCCCTATATTACATTTTTATGGACCTTAGAAATACACAGAAGTAAAAGATAAAATGGGTTGCCCACTGTCCTCAATGGGCTAACAATCTATTTGAGAAGACAAAGCATTTAATACATAGAGACATTTTCTTGTTGGATGTGCTAAAACAATGAAAGATCAAGGAGGTAGACTTGAGAGTCTGGATGGATGTAGATTAGGTGGCACATTGCAGTTAAACAAGGAAAAGCCCTAGGTGGCATGGCATGTAGTGGTAGAAAGAATGGTGGAAGGGGCCAGGAGCAGTGGCTCATGTGTAATCCCAGCACTTTGGGAGGCTAAGGCAGGCAGATCACTTGAGGTCAGCAGTTCAAGACCAGCCTGGCCAACATGGTGAAACCCCGTCTCTACTAAAAATACAAACTTAGCCAGGCAGGGTGGCATGTGCCTGTAATCTGAGCTGCTCAGGAGGCTGAGGCATGAGAATCACTGGAACCTGGGAGGTGGAGGTTGCAGTGAGTTGAGATTGGCCACTGCACTCCAGCCCAGTGACAGAGCGAGACTCTGTCTCAAAGAGAAAAAAAAGAATGGTGGAAGGGTAATTCACAAAGTTTATCCAGAGTGTCAAAGCTCATTCCCAGGCTCTTGAACCATGGAACTATCCCAGAAATAGGCAGTAAAAAGAGGCACAGGATACTCTTCACCTTCTGTGATATTTTCAATTTAGTGCATCTTCCCCCTGCCCCCCCCCACCCCCCGCCGCTTGCTGGAGTACAGTGGTGCGATCTGAGCTCACTGCAACGTCTACCTCCAGGGCTCAAGCCAGCCTCCTGAGGCCTCCTGAAAAGCTGGGAAAACAGGCGCAAACCACCATGCCCGGCTGATTTTTGTTTTTTTTACCTTTCATAGAGACGTGGTCTCACTGTGTTGCCCAGGCTGGAATTTAGTGCATCTTTATTGAAAGGATATTGCATTCATGAAATTAGCTCATAATTGAGTGTCAAAACTGCACTTAAGTCAATCATTTTGTAGGCTATTGTACATAGTAGAAAAAGTAAGAACGACCACTCTATCTAGAAGTTTACTGCATATCAGGGGAGATTAGGCAAGTATAAAAATGACTAATACAAAGTAGAGTGAGGTAAGGATGAATTAACAGGATGGGAGATTATTACTGTGGCAGATTGGATTTTCCAAAAATTCCCACAGCGGTATTTTGAATCCCACATGTTCTTCCAGAATCTTGCCACAATCTCCCCTAGAGGTGGTGTCCCTAGGACTTGTGGCTGCCCCTACAGACACAATGCAGTAAAAGATGCTGGTTCAGTTCTGAGGACATCCCTTGGACCCCAGCTGCCACGCTGTGAGGAAGCCCAGGCCGCTTGGAGAAGCCATCTGGAGGTGCTGGAGCTGACACCAGCACCCAATGCCAGACTGGGGAATGAGGGAGCCACCTGATCATTCCAGTCCCCAGCCCTGGGGCTGTCCCAGCTGACCTCAAGTACAGCAGAGACTCATGCAAGCTGGACCTAAATTGCACGCCCCCCTGAAATATATAATTTATTTCATGAACATAGATCTGAACATTAGAACAGATTATTGAGGCCGGTTTTGGTGGCCCATGCCTGTAATCCCAGCACTTGGGGAGGCTGAGACAGCTGGATTGCTTGAGCTCAGGAGTTCGAGACCAGCCTGGGCAACATAGCAAGACTCTATCTCTACAAAAAATACAAAAATTGGGTGAGTTTGGTGGCGGAAACCTGCTAGTCCCAGCTACTCGGGAGGCTGAGGTGGGCAGGTCGCTTGAGACTGGGAGTTCGAGGCAGCAGTGAGCTATGATTGTGTCACCGCACTCCATTCCAGCCTGAGCCACAGAGCAAGACCGGCTCTTAAAAAAAAAGAAAGAAAGAAAGAAAAAAGATAACAGTGGCTTCAGGAAAACTGTTCCACGGTAGGAGGCATACGATCCTGATCTCTGTATTTTGGAGAAGACGGAGGGGACTAGCTTACGTCGAGACAGAGGAGTTCATAACTATTAACTATACACAACGACGTGTCACAAATGTTTACAAACTTCCAAGAGATAACGATAAGAAGCGGCCGGGCGCGGTGGCTCACGCCTGTAATCCCAGCACTTTGGGAGGCCGAGGCGGGCGGATCACGAGGTCAGGAGATCGAGACCATCCTGGCTAACACGGTGAAACCCCGTCTCTACTAAAAATACAAAAAATTAGCCGGGCGTGGTGGCGGGCGCCTGTAGCCCCAGCTACTCGGGAGGCTGAGGCAGGAGAATGGCGTGAACCTACCTGGGAGGCGGAGTTTGCAATGAGCCGAGATAGCGCCACTGCACTCCAGCCTGGGCGACAGAGCGAGACTCTGTTTCAAAAAAAAAAAAAGAAGGAAGCAAAATACGATTGGTTCGGTCCCGTCCGCTCTCAGCGGCTCAGTCCCAGGCCTCGGGGCCAGAACCGTGTTCCCCGCGCTACTTGGGCGGCGCCGAGATCGCGGCCTCCCCGAAGGGTGCCCAGGAGGCCTGGGTCGGACGTGGGGCGCGAGGAAACGGCGGGTTTTCCACACTGAGCCGCGAAAGCCTGTAGACGACGAAGAACCCCGCAGCCTTGGCCTCTGCGCGGCTTCCACGCCCCACGGCTGCCCGCCCGAGCCCTGCCCCCAGGCGCGCCAGCCCCGCCTCCCGGGTCCCGGGTCCTGGGACCGGGCCCGCCCTGCCCCGGCGCCCGTGGTCACCATGGCAACGCAGCGGACGTCGGCCAACGGCCCGCCCTGGGGGCGGGGCTGGGCCGGTCGGGCGCGCGGGTCAGGTGGCGAAGGGCGGAGTCTGCGCGGGGTTGGGCGGAGCCTGCGCGGGGCCGGTAGGATCGCGTCGGGAGCCGGTACCGAGGCCCGAGCCGCGGGAGTCGAGCGAAGGCAGCGCCGAGGCCGCGGTTTCCCCCTGGGCCTCCCCAGCAGCAGCCATGGGCAGTGAGTAGCGGCGGCTGGAGCGGGGACTCTGGCTGGGAACGCAGGCCCCGCCTGGGCTGCGGGCGGTGGGGCTGGCGCTCGCTCGGAGTCGTGGGGGCCAGGGATGCGCGGGCCGCTCCGGGCCTCAGCGGAGGGCACGGGCCGGGGGCCTCCGCCGAGGCTCCCCTAGCCGTGCGAGGCCTTGCCCGGCGGGTACCGGGACCCGGAGGCCCGGGGTTTGCGTTTGATAGAGGGCGAGGATGGCGCTGGGAGGCCATTGGTTTTGGGGGCGGGGAGTTAGGGCACCGGGTGAACCTGGACCACTTTTTAATTTTTCAGGAGTTAAAGAAATCCCGTGTTTTTATTCCCTCGTCATCTTTCCTTGGCATGTTGCATTGAAGAAAGCTCCCCTAACTCGTTTAATTTTAAAAAAAGTGATGCATGGCGTGTGTTTTAGGGAGGAAAGGAGTGTGCATTGGTAACAGCGTTTTCCTTAAACTGTTCATTCTGTAGCGTTTACTGAAAACTGTAAGGTTTTATAAGCCTTAGGGACAAGGCCTTATGTTATAGGAATGTTTTTCAGGGCCCTCCCCGTAACACTCAACCCCACATATGTGCACGTAGCTACTTGCATAGCTGTGAAGATGTTCGTTGGATGATGGGTCGTGCATACCCAAGCAGGGCACCCATTGGCCAACTAGTGGACATTTGGGGGAAATTAGAAAGGAGTAGGAGAGACCCGTGGTAAAATTTTGCATCACAAGGATAGACAGGGGGCAGCCAAAAGCTTTGCTTGAACATGAATACCCCTTACAGATGATCATAAAGTGTCAAGAAATCTGAGAGTGGCTTGGATTGAGGTGGAGAGGAAAAGGGATGGAGAGGTTCTAGGAAGCCTCCTGATGTGATTGATACTTGTTTCGCGTTAGCAATGAATGCTTTCATAATTCAGATTTACTTTCCAGAAAATCCAAAATATTAGGTTGCTGCAAAAGTAATTGCGGTTTTCAATTACTTCTCAAAAACCGCAGTTACTTTTGCACCAACCTAATAGTACTTGGGTAACAAACATCTGCCCATGACAATTAGTTAATCCTTCTGTCAAACATCAGTGACTGGTGGGGCGCAGAGGCTCACGCCTGTAATCCCAGCACTTTGGGAGGCCGAGGAGGGCGGATCACCCGAGGTCAGGTGTTCGAGACCAGCCTGGCCAACATGATGAAACCCCATCTCTACTAAAAATATAAAAATCAGCCTGGTGTGGTGGTGGGCGCCAGTCATCCCAGCTCCCCAGGAGGCTGAGGCAGGAGAATCCCTTGAACCCGGGAGGTGGAGGTTGCAGTGAATGGAGATCATGCCACTGCACTTCAGCCTGGGCGATAGAGCGAAACTCCGTCTCGAAATAAACAAACATATATCGGTGACTGCCCATCATTTGT